>NC_000023.11:36798548-36948905 GCF_000001405.40 Homo sapiens | reverse complement strand
TCTTTGTGTGGCTAGGTTTTGGGGGAAGAACTGATTTTTTTGTGTCGAGTAAACTCTCCTTTTCTTGGTTAATGAAAGCTAAAAGACCTTAAAAAGGGGAAAGTGGACATACTGCTAATCAGGATGCATGAAGTTCTAAGCAATCAAATTTGAAGAGATGAAAAAGAAGTGACCTCGTTTACATACCAAGCTATTGAAAAAGATTACAGACATTAAACCAGATTTTATAAAATATTGTTAGATGGGATATAAAGTGACCTAGTTATCTTTCCAAGAAAAGAAATAAATGCAGTTAGTATTGCTTTGTTATATACTAAGGAGTGAAGTTGTGAGTCATAAAGTATGATCTTATTTACTTTTATTGGACAATACTAACTTAGTTTGGGCCACTCTATCAAAAATACCATAAATTGCATAGCTTAAACGACAGAAATTTATTTTTCACAGTTCTGGAGGCTGGAAGTCTGAGATCAGGTTGTCGGCATGTTTGAGTTCTGGTGAGGGCCCTCTTCCTGGTTTACAGACTGAAACAGTAGCTTCTATACATCTTTACATTGTATCTTCTTATGTCCTTACATGGCAGAGAACAGAGAGAGAGAGGAAGCAGGTTAACTCATGTTTTAAAAATAAATATGCTAATCTCTAGCTAGGACTTCCACTACTATGTTGAATAACAGTGATGACATGGACATCCTTGTAGTGTTCCAGATCTTATAGGAAAGGCTGTTTTTTCCACATTCATGTTCAGGCATAAAAAAATGAGATCCAGTCGTTTGCAACAACATGGATGGAACTGGAGATCACTATGTTAAGTGAAAAAAGCCAGGCACAGAAAGACAAATATTACATGTCCTCTCTTATTTGTGGGATCTAAAAATCAAAACAGTTGATCTCATGGACATAGAGAGTAGAAGGTTGGTTACCAGAGGCTGGGAAGGGTGGTGGGGAACTGGGTGGGGAGGTGGGGATGGTTAATGGGTACAAAAAAAAAAATAGAAAGAATAAATAAGATCTGCTATTTGATAGCACAATAGGGTGACTATAGTCAATAATAACTTAATTATACTTTTAAAAATAACTAAAAGAGTGTAATTGGATTGTTTGTAACTCAAAGGATAAATGCATGAGGGGATAGATAACCCATTCTCAATGGTGTGATTATCATGCCTTGCATACCTGCATCAAAATATCCCATGTACTCCATAAATGTATACATCTATTATGTACCCACAAAAATTAGAAAGAAAAAAAGGAAAAAAATACTTATCTCATTACCACCCAAAGGAACCATCTCTAAATGCCATAATATTGGGGATTAGGGTTTTAACGTACGAAATTTTGGAGAGGCACATTCAGTTTTCCAAGTTATATTTCTATCAGCACTGTGTGAAATAGAGCTGTCATTGCTACATCTCTTCATGAACACTTGGTGTTTTCCAAATGTTTAACTTTTACAGGTTTTGTGAATGTTTAGCGTCTGTTCTGATATATTGGGACTAGCCAACTAACGTAACAGTGATTTTGTAATATCACCTTTTCTCTGTTTACTAAAGATAGCCACTATTGTGGCCTTGTTCCAATTTTACAGGACTTCATACTATTTAAGGAATGTCAGCTAGTGACTCTGTAAGGAAATATTAAGTTATTTTGATGCGTGTTAATTTGAATATTCCCAGCTTGAGGAACCATTGCCAGAAGATGGCATAAATGTACTACATTGGAAAGTGAATAAATATTTAGATGCTTTCCTGGTTAAGTAGTACAGAAAGTGCTTTATAATATACAATCTAGTTTTAATTTTTCTACCCCACTTACGTTCTCAAAAGCTTTTGCACTCTAGAAGCTAAATTTTTGTAAAACTCAAATACGTTATTTTCATCTACATTAAAGCCAATAAATACAAGAATTTTTAAGAGGTAAAAGATTTAACTATTTAAGTCTAGAGTTGAGAATCTGGAATCTGGAAATAATAAAATCCTTATTTCAGTTGATAATTTTTCAAAATGAAATACCTATTTTTAAATTTCCATTTGTTGTAAATTTATACTTGTAAACAATATTGAATAACATGCTAAACATGAAAAAGTACCTATAGGAACTTTCTTTTTTTTTTAATGTGATTATTACTTTACTTGGCAGCAAAACAATGTTTAAAAGTACAATTAAACAATAAATATCAATATAACCAAAAGTTGTTATTAAATTATATTGAAAATGCAAAAAAGATAAATGCTCATGGTTTTATTAAAAATGTAAAAGGGAGTAACATCCAAATTGACTATTGAAGAGATTCAGTAGATAATGTCTAAAATAGAAGTAAAACTAAGAAGCAATTTTTTTTTTTGGAATACAGAGTTTTAATTTTTTTATTATTATTATACTTTAAGTTTTATAGTCAAATGTTAGTTGTCATAGCATTGATTTCCCACTGCTTTGTTATCTCAAATGAAAAACTCCAAATTTAGTATATGAAACGACTCATTCAGTGTTTCAAATGCTTTATTCAGTCTCAATAAAAATTATATTACAGAAAAAAAAGAAATACCTATTTTTTCTTGCTGCTTTAAAAGAAATAAATGTTGGTAAATGTTATTAACATTTAACAAGTGATTAATAGCACTGCCTTTTCCATAATAATTTATTATGATAAGTACTTTATCATGTTCAAGAGACATGTAAATAATTCTATGCAATGCCATTTATAAATGTCTTATAACAGGTTGACAGAATTATTTAGTGCCTGCTTGAAACATGAAAAAGGTAAAAACAAGCCTCCTAATAATTGAATCTAATAAATCTGTGTTGTCATTAATCACATTTCTTAAATCATTTCTAAATGTTACCTCAAATTAAAATGCAACTGCCATTTCTTATTCAGTTTTGAACTCAAATAGGAATATAACAAATCTGTAGCACTCAATCTGGAGTAAGCATCATGACATCGAATTGTTAGGTGCTGTGGTGGCAGTTTCCTGAGAATAACCTGTCATCAAAGCCTAGAAAATTCTGTTATTAATTTAGGCAGATTCTGAGTAAGGGATGTAAAGAAGAAGTTTATGACATATGTTTTTATATAACCTTTCAAACTGATTTACTGATACTAAAACTGACTTAAAAATGGATGTCATCTATCATTGGAAAACTGGAAATTTCTATCCATATGTGGCATTTTTGTCCTATCTGAACTTTTGATAAAAATTTGATCTAAATTCTGCCATTACATATCCATGGAATATAATAACCACTTCTAGAAACTGAGATGAGGAGAAATTTTTTACTGATCTCTCCTGAGGTAAAGTCTCAAATGACTTATAATAATTATAACAATCTCAGTGAGGTCTAATAGTGTTCTCTGAATCCTGACTACACCATTATATATGTATTATCATTTGTTTATCACCATAGATTCTGTCTCCCAGACTGGACCATGAACTCCTTACAGTATTACAGTAATATGTCTTCGATTTCGTTTTAGCAGTAATAAATATTACTGCCTATTTGTGTAAACCCCTATGTAAACGTTGTAGAGATACTAATCACACAATGACTCAACGTATTCCTTTCCTGAAAATCATTTTCAGATTAATTTATTATTATATTAATATATATTATATATTATATTATATTGAAAGATATTTTAAAGATCCTTTATATAAATGAATAAAATACTACTGTGCAGTAACTGACATTAGTAGTTAGTAGTAACTAACATCAGTAAATTATTTATCTCTGCCTTTTTAAAAACTTTGTTAGAAATGGATTGACTTTAATTGAATAGTTGACACCAGCACAAGTGGATCTTTCTGTTTCAGAATTTAAAATATCAACAGTTACTTTCTAGAGTGAGGTAGAACCTAATGCATAAACACCAACTATCAATCAATGACTTTACACTTCACTATCCCACATGATGTGGTAAAAATGATGAACAGGGCCATACTTGGAGGAGGGGTAGGGTAAAGGAAATGGCCCAAAGATGAGGTTGGCAGGTGCCAAAGCATTCTAACCCACCAAATTACCACGACTTTCTTGAGTGTCTGCAATGTAAACTACATCATGGTAGGTGCTAGATAAAAATAAATATAAGATGTGTTGTTGCCTGCCCTCAAGAGCTTATCATTCAAATGGAAGTAAAACTCTCCTCTATAAGTACACAACCAACCAGTCTCACACAGAGACAAAAAGGGACCTCTCTTACAATAATTTTAAATAAGTGCTATGAAGAATAATGCAAAGTCCTTAAATTGGAATTTCCTGAAAGAAGAAATGAAAATAATTATACTTTATTTATATTTATTAAATAATGTATTAAAGGTTAAGAATTAGATTGGAATATTGCCACATTACAATAGAGATTTTTGGATCTTTGTAATTAATGGATCTTTGTAATAAATATGAATGGCTGCTGATAGCAGTAAGTGAAAACCACATGGGAAACTTTTTAGTGAATGGGTGAAGGTGGCAACACCTAAACCTATTGATTAATCACAAAAAGAAAAGCAACCCCTTTTTACATGCCTTCAGATATGGTGCAAGAAAGAAAATAAAACTCAACTATGTGCATTTTTGCCAAAAATAATACAAAACCTAATCGCTTAGTCTATTATTTTATGGTAAGCACAGGAGACAAAGAAACATAGGAATACAATCAGCAAAATCTAATGTATAGAAAATGTTCCAGGAAAAATGGTCCAGGTTCTTCAATAAATAAATTGAAGAATGAAAGTGAGAGAGGAAACCTACAAAAAATATTGTAGAGATATTAAATAAAAGTAATCCAACCAAACTGGAAATTTGATTAGTGGCTAAATATTTGATGGTATACAGTGATTATTGTTATTTGAGATTATAATGATATTGTGGTTATGTTTTTAAAAATAGTAATCTCTTAAAGATACACTGTAAAGTATTCACAGAAGTTTTAAGATGTCTGGGGTTTGTTTCAAAATAATTACATAGTTGGAGAAATAGATAAAGCGATATTGGCCATTTGTTGAAGCTATTTGATGGAAATACGAATGTTCATTATGTTACTATATCTACTTTGGCATATATTTAAAATGTTTGTAATAAAAGAGGTTAAAAATAAAAAGTTACGCTATTAATATTCATTTAAAATGCAATTTTATTAGGAGGAAAACCCTCTGGCTATATTTCTAATTTCAAGGATATCTGCATATATAGCCACAAACAGAATACAAAGATAAGAAAAGTAAAATAGGAAAAGGATGTGATCCTCATTTCATCTGAGTATTTCATTGGAGAGAGTTATTTTATGTTTTTAACTTTGGAAATAACGTATAGTGAAAAAATTGCGAAGTACTTTGTAAAATATTAATCTGAATTTAGTAATATGCAACTTATTTTTGTCAAAAAGAAAGCATTGTTATCATCAAACACTTTTAAGTTCCAGTCAATTGATGGGACGGCCTACTAAAATATTTGCCTTTGAGGGACATATGCACTAAAAATTTTTGATGCATAAGCAAGTACATATACATCTATATAAATTATTGTGGCTTTGCCACATTCAGTAGTCTTTTTCCATGTTCAATTTATAAAAACATTTTTAGTTTTTTTGAATAGTATATAGCAACAGCTCTATGATAGAAATAATAGTAGGTCAATAGTTGGAGATATTAAATGTATGTTGAATGAAGAAAATTATTTAAATAAATAAATGATTGTACATTTATAGATTCTTACGATATTTCAAAAACCTGACAATCTTAAAGATCATTTTATTATTTGTAACTTGAAGATTTAAATGGTGCATATTATATCTATTGGCACATCTCAAATGTATGTACAATAATTTAATAAAAACAAAAAATTTCAAAAGTAAAATAAAGGCTAAAAACTTGCAAGATCTAAGGCCATGTAAGAACATAGTGAAAAGATGGCAGTTTACAAGCCAGGAGGAAAGGCCTCACCAGACACAAAACCTGCTGACACATTGACCTTGGACTTCTAGTCCCAGAATTGTGAGAAAATATATTTCTGTTGTTTAAATCTCCCAGTCTGTGGCATTTTTGTTTTGGCAGCCCTACCAGACTAATATAGTCCCTGTAAAGGAATAAACATGAATCTTACCTTGCACCAACAATGGAGCAACACAATGTTTTTTCATTGTTTAGAACACTTTGCCTTATCTTATTCTCAAGTTCTCCATCTGCATACACATGTACACATCTTTCTTCAATAGTAATGTTTAATTAATTATGCACAGGCTTTCCAATGGCTAATTGCAGATTAGTTCACCAAGCTCAGAGGGGAGGGGCTTCATACTTGCACAGTACTGGTCTGTTTCTTCTAAGAAGAAAAGGGAAGGACAAGAAGGGTCTAGGCTTCACTACAGCATTCCCACATGCCATTTAAAAATACTTAACTTGTGTTCACCTTCAAATCTCTCATTATAAATCACATACACATGCAATTTGTCAGTTAATTGTCAGTGGTAAATGTTAATGTTCTAATAAACTAGATATTAGCTGATGTAGTGAGTGGTATCATGTAGGTTTTCACCATTATAAGGCATACTTAACAGTTTAGAAAATCAACGACATATTAAACAAAGGTTAGTGCTCCTGGAAGAATTGGAAGAATTCCTTGATAAACAGTTGTTATCTGACAGATTATAACTAATTTTTCTGCTTCCAGAAAGATAGAACATGTTCTCCTGCCTTAGTAACTATTGACAGTTTGTGCATAGGGGAAAAAAATCACACACAAATATGCAGAAACACAACTTTCGTCAATGAAACTGCACATTTATAGATGGGAAGGTAAGAAGATGTGGGGCAGGGGACTAAAGTCCAGGCCTGATGCTTGTTTCCCTTTGTGTTCTCCAAAGACAAGACATTGTTTTGACTTAGGATAAATATATGAAAGGCGAGGAGCAGTGTGACATATTTGGGAGTTTTATTTAAATGCGAGTTTGCCGTCCCCAGCAGTCAGGAATGGTACTAATCTGGTGGAAGGACTTTTCATGCTGTGGCTATTTACTTAACGTTGCTATTTACAAATATCTTCTTGGAGCTGCCAGATAGAGGAATGCAGATTCACAGAAGACTTAGTGGCAGCAATTCCCAGGGAGGATCATCTGTGTTCTGTCAAAATAAATTCCCTTACCTGAGCTTTTGGACACTCAAGCTCATCAAAAAATAATTGGCAAATATTTAGTAGGAAAAGAAATAGAAAATAACACCATTCTGACTGAACATTCTTGAAAGAATGGGTTATAGCCTGTATTTAAGTGTGTGCTATTTTAATTGGAATTTCCTATCTCACACCCCAAGTCCTTTCATTAAGCACATCCCTATAGGTCTTATCCTTTATGCATAAACTTCATTTTGTTTACTTTTCCCTATTCACTACTATGTGTTCTACAGCAAAAAGTTATTAACATGAGTGCATAACTTGTTAATGTACCACAGGGACAAAGTTATGGTAAATTCTTTGTAAAAGGATAAAAGCGATATAGTATAATGTAGGGTTAAGGATGTTCCACTGAGAGACAGGAAACCTGCTTTCCTCTTTTGAATTTGTGATTAATCTATTGGGCAACCACTGGAAATTATAAACATCCCTGCACCCAGAGGTTCTTATTTGTAGAATGAGGAAATTGGATGAGATCTTGCTTAGTGTACCATTATATTCTCTAGTGTATCATTATATTCCAGCAATTACGGCACAACTTCTACATTGTAACCACAATGCTGAGCAGAATAATTTCTGTTTCATCCAATTAAACAGCATTGTCCTGTTTGATTCTCATCACACCCTTGCAAGGTAGGTATCTTCATCCCTATGTCACTAAAGAGCAAAGGCTTTGAGAAAATAAGGAGAGTGCTAAACACAGCCTGCAAGTTGCCGGGCTGATCCTCTGTATTCTAATGAGTGTATGTGCTCTTCACCTGGACCAAAACTTTATTAATGGGCACAGCTACTTTTTGTTATCAAAGTTGTCCCTCTAGAATACTGGATTTCAAGTACCTAAGAGATGGGCAAACTATATGATTATATCTAGGTGTTGGAGTACAAGTTGATTAACAGCCACTTCCCTGAGTTCCCAGACCTTATTAGTTGTTGCCCTATACACACTCCCTCACCAACAAATGATCCAGCAACTAAGGGGGAATGCCTAACACAATCTTCTAGGACTTTATCCAGTTTTGGGACCAGTCTTCATAAACAGAGTCATGGTGCCACTTTCCAAGTACAATAACAGACGTATGTACAGGGAAACTCACCCACAAGGCAGGCTGAGAAAAGATGCAGCCAGGGTCCACATAGCCCTTTCACAGTTTCATTGTCAATAAAAAAAGTAAATGTGGCATAGAAGGGCTATAGACAACAGCAGTTTCTGACTTGAAAGTCTGCCGAGTAAGCTCTTTATGAATCGCTTCTTGAGATTTGGTGATTTCTACTTGGGTTTCTGAGATCAGAGACATTATGATGGTGTCAAGCTCCTGGAAAGAAGTAGAGTGGTGGGTTGTTGAAGTTCCTGACCTATTCTTTCTAAAAATGACAAAAGATTACCATACACGGTCAATGGACAAATGGCCAAATGGTCTCTGATAGGCTTTCTTTAATGGCCTGTACAACTCACTTGATGTTTGTTGCTCCAAAGGCAAATATTTTCTTAACTTGTAACTAAGGCCTGTATTCCAGTGATTGGTGGCTACTGCCCAACATCAGGGAGCTCTAATGCAGCATTTGAACGTAACAGCACCACAGGTTAAATGAAAACTTATTTCTCTACAAGACCATCTTGAAATAAACTGTTCCCCTTCCTTATTCGAGTTAGAATCAGGTGGGCTTATAAATAAAAGTAAATTGTGCTTTATTTTTTGTCTGTGATAAGTGAGAAGTACCTTGACACGTCTATCAGCTTTCAAACACGATGACATTGCTTCAGATTTTCTATATGTACAAGCAGGTTTGTCCACATGAGTCTTAGTGAGTGTGTTTGTTTTTCAGTTGCTTGTAGTAGCTGAGCATAAGTGGATATACTGTATTTTCTCTGTAAACTATGTAAGGGAGATCTCTCTGAAGACTGGCACTGGGGTGTTACTGTGGGTAGTGGCAGATACATCAAAGAAAGGACTTTGATTTCATGTAAGAAATCTGTTCCCTGAGAACAACTTGCAGATGATTCTTCATCCACTCACTGCTCAATGAATATAAACTGGCCGAATTTCCTCAGGGACAGGTGGGCTTAATTGGCTGCTTCTAAAGCCCATATTTCTTTGTGAGACTCTAAAGGAGAAATTGAACTTCGGTGAACCAGGGGCTTCATTCTTCACTGTTCAGGCTGTTTCTCTAAGTTGTTTCGGTACTGTTGGTTGAGATGGAAAGGTGCATGCCTGACTGCTGGTGAGTTTTATTGAACTGAGTGATCCTGGCATTTGTATTAGGATTTGGAAGTTACCTGCTCCTTGTGAAGATGAGTTTCAAAGTGCTTCTGTGCTACTTTCACAGTATAGATCAGGGAAAGATCTGTTTTCGTTCTCTCTTAGTGCTGACTACCATTTCTGAGTCAAGCAATTCCTCTGAAAAAATATGATTCAGTAAGTCTTCATTTTTTTTTAGAGCTTTTTCATTGGACAGTTGTCAAAAATCTACTACAGAATGATGAAATCGACCCAATATTTGACAGCTCAGAGGTTCTAGTTATGTTCTGGGAATTCAACAACCCGAGAGACTATATCACTTTTTGCTAGATAGAACCTTTCAGAATCGGTTGAGACCACCTTATCCTTATTTTGTTATATAAGGGAAAATTAACTACTATAGACTATGAGCATGATGTATAAACCAAGATGAAAATAGACAATAAAGCCAAAATCCTGATGCCAGTTTAAGTTGATTTACTCTTTCTTCATAGACCCCCTTCAATTTTAATTCTATAAATAAAGTTCAGAAATATTAACCACAGGTTAAGATGGTAGCATCTTTTTCATGTTTCCTTTCATGTCAAAGCAGACACCATGTCTAGGAGGCAAGAATTCTCATATTTAACTGAGGATTCTCATTAATAATACTATAATACGTCACCCTCTACAAAGCATTCCAATATGCATTATCTCCCTTGATCTTTACAACAATGTTTCAAGCAATAAATTCTATGGGAATTTAATTTTGTTTGATAGATTCAGATCCGGGAGGGCTTCCAAAAAAAGGTAGAATTTGAGTTTACTCTAGTGAGAGGAAGCATAACCTCTGTGTATGTGTTTCTCTGTGGGAAGATAGCATCTCTCTACATCCCACGGGTGTAGCCCCAGATACTGCTATCAATACCAATGCAGGTGCTCAGACTGTGCCTTGTCATGCCCTTTTACCCTTTCTCCTTATGGACATGCCATGACCTTATCTTTTACTACCATGACCACTACTCCGAGGGCCTCTTCTCAAATGGCTCAACAAGAAGGCAGAGGGGTAGGATGGGGCACTGTCTAAACTGGGAGTCTAGAGACTTAAATTCTAACCCTAATTTTGAGATAGTTTGACGTTTGACTAATATCATCTGTTAAATGACAAGGTAGGTGGATGACAAGAAGATCCTTTGAGTTTGGATTGTAATCCCAAAAAACACAATCCCAGATGCCATAATCCAGAATGCTAAAATCCTGAAAGATCAGTGTTCTTAAAGTCTAAATTCCTAAAGTCTACAATCCCTAACATCTAAAATCCTGAAAAATCACAATCACAAATTGATTGCATAATGTCAGGTGAAACTATTATTTTGTTATTGTCTTTTTTTTTGTTTTTTTGAGGTGGAGTTTCACTCTGCCGCCCTGGTTGGAGTGCAGTGGCACGATCTTGGATCACTTGCAACCTCTGTCTCCTAGTTTCAAGTGATCCTCCCACCTCATTCTCCCTAGTACTTGGGACTACAGGTGCAGTACCCCCATGCCCAGCTAATTTTTGTATGTTTAGTAGAGACGGAGTTCCACCATGTTGGCCAGGCTGGTCTCGCACTCCTGACCTCAAGTGATCTGCACACCTTGGCACCTTGGCACCCTCTTACTGTCTTTATGCAGAATAAAATGAATTTCAATTGAATCCCCAAACCATAATGACAGATTTGGAATTAGGTGCAATTAAGGTTTCTAAAAATGAATTTCAAGGTGTTTCCAATAAAGTTTGTTTTTTTTTCCATTCACCCGAGTGTATTTGACAGAAAATTAAGAAGAATCAATTGGCCATGAGGTACGGCAATGAGGAAAACTTTAGTTTGAAAATGTGTCATTTACCTGCATTGGCATTCTTTCCAGTTGATGGCATTCTGGGAGCTTTTAATGAATTAAAGCTCCATGCAGTTGCCTGAAGAAGTCAGCAAAGTTACTGACTGGTTCAGAAACAAGTATGTGCATGGTAAGATAAGAAGATACTTACACAACAGTGTCCCATTCAGTTACCAGCATTGTTTCTATCAAATTTGTAGTCTGCATATGAGTGCCCAGGGAATGGGTTCCTTTCCTTTCCTCTCCTCTCCTCACCTCTCCCCTCCCCTCCTCTCCTCTCCTCTCCTTTCCTTTCCTTTCCTTTCTCTCTCTTTTCTTTTTCTTTCTTTCTTTCTCTTCCTTTCTTTCTTCTTCCATCCTTTTCTTTCCTTCCTTCCCTTTCCCCTTCCTCTTTTCTTTTCTTTCTTTCTTTCTTTCTTTCTTTCTTTCTTTCTTTCTTTCTTTCTTTCTTTCTTCTTCCATCCTTTCCTTTCCTTCCTTCCCTTTCCCCTTCCTCTTTTCTTTTCTCTCTTTCTTTCCTCCCTTCCTTCCTTCCTTCCTTCCTTCCTTCCTTCCTTTCTTTTCTCTTCTTTCTTTCTTTCTCTCTCTTTCTTTCTTTCTTTCTTTCTTTCTTTCTTTCTTTCTTTCTTTCTTTCTTTCTTTCTCTTTCTCCTTCCTTCCTTCCCTTCCCTTCCATTCCTTCCCTTCCTTCCCTTCCTTCCCTTCTTTCTGTTTTTGAGACAGTCTTACTCTGTAACCCAAGCTGGAGTACAGTGGCACGATCTAGGCTCAGCGCAATCTCAGCTCACTGCAACCTCTACCTCTCGAGCTCAAGTGATTCTAGTGCCTCAGCATCCCGAGTAGCTGGGATTACGGAAGTGTGCCACCATGCCTGGCTAATTTTTGTATTTTTAGTAGAGACAAGTTTTGCCATGTTGGCCAGGCTATTCTCGAAATGCTGACCTCAAGTGACATGATGCAATACCTTAAAATATAGTTAGTGATCATAAAAATTGGCCAGAACCTCTGGACTATCTTTGAATAATTGTCTATAATCTATGCCTGTAGTACACGTTTTCATATCTTTTTTTTTTTTTTTTTTTACTTTTTTGTTGTCATTTGTTTTTTAGGTTTTTTCACTATTTTAAATTGTCAGCATTATTTTTTTTTACAATTCTTTACGCTATGTATTTTTATCTTTGCATCATTTTAAACACTGCAGTTATACATTGTGTAAAGACTTTTAGAGAGTTCTAATTTGCTTTATGCATTTTTTGAAATGTGACTCCATGAAAGTGTATTATCACAACATTGACTTTGTATGTAAGCATTGTACGTGTACGTAAAAACTTCTAGCCAGGCGCGGTGGCTCACGCCTGTAATCCCAGCACTTTGGGAGGCCGAGGCGGGCAGATCACCTGATGTCAGGAGTTCAAGACCAGCCTGGCCAACATGGTGAAACCCCGTCTCTACTAAAAATACAAAAAATTAGCGGCGGTGGTGGCACGCGCCTGTAATTCCAGCTACTCCGGGGGCTGAGGCAGGAGAATCACTTGAACCTGGGAGGTGGAGGTTGCAGTGAGCCGAGATTGCGCCATTGCACTCCAGCCCAGGCAGCAAGGGTGAAATTCCATCACAAAACACACACACACACACACACACACACACACACACACACACACACACACACACAATTCCATCACAAAACACACACACAGACACACACCAAACAAACAAACAAAAAACTTCCTCAATAAGTGAGGAGATATTTTTTGTACATCTGCATTTGTGAAAGATAAATTTCTCTGGTTCTTGGTTCTTTGGGGGATTAACTCAGGGTTGATGCAGTGGTGACTCATTGCAGTTTTTTTAAAATCAATCTTGTCAAAAGACATGTTGTCTGTTGTAGTTCAGGTGATTGCAGTTATACAGCTGGGTACACACAATTACAAATCACAGTGATATGTGCTAATAAGTTTCCCTTTTTGACATATTACTTTATGAATATGGTTCATTTGCTCACAGCTGGTATACCTGTGTGTTAATATACCTGAGCGTTTAGGCTTGCAAAAATATATATATGTTATTATTGTCTCTTTTATTATGTAAACTGTCCTATGACATGTTCTGTCCTGTGTTATAAATTTCTCAATAAATCCCCCTTTAAAAATGTAAATAAATATATTTTAAAGAGTTTTTAAAAATTATTTCTTTCATAATTATATTTTCAAGATTTTGATCTTTTGGGATTTAAATATTTGGGATTATGGCACTCAAGATTGTGCCTTTTTGGATTATAATTGGCTCTTCAGGGACTTGCAACAACAGAAAACCTTACCACACCTGAAGGGGAGAGGCATTTTGGCAACCAGTTGAGAGGGGGAGCCTTGCCAGAGAAGTCACTGGTAAGAGCTATAGTTGTGGAGGGGCACAGTGACTGCCACAATTGCCCAAGTCTGAAAGAGGTTTGAGGAATAAATTCCGCAACCTCACTTTCTTCCTGCCCTCCATGCTCTTGCTGGTGCCTCCCATCAGCCAAACCCAACAGGAGCCAGAGAGCAGAGGAGCCCCTGATGAACACTGCAAGATGCAGCCTTCTGGGGCACAGAGAAGAGCAGAGAAAAGCTGTTGGTAGAACTGGAGAAGATGGAACATAACCCTCACAGGCCCCAAGTCATGATTTGGTTGTTCTTTTTGCAAGTGACAGGCTCTATCTTCTGTTTGTTTGTTTATTTATTTAAACAGCCTATATTCCCACCTCTATTTGGAAATGATCCCTGGCAATCTGCTGATGGAGCAGCCCATTTCACATAACAGCCAGTTTCTCTACAATAGCTGACAAACATTGCGCTTTATTTGGTGACTAGCTGAACTTTATAAAGTCAGGTTTAGAAACTAGTGCCATATTTTTTTGGAGAGAATAAAGTTATATCAGTAATGTAGCATTGGTAGTTCTTTAAAAATAGGTGATATTAGCAAAATTATAACTTGAGTAACACGTGTTAAGGGTTGATGAACTTATAATGGGAAACATTTAAGTGGTTGGGAGTTTACAACAAGTATTGCAAATGAAAGCATGAGCAATAAATATTCCTGATTTTGATCTTTATAAGAATCAATATATTTGTATTTATTGGGGAGTTTGTGTGTATGTATGTGTGTGTGTGCATGTGTCCAGACTAATGAGTCCTATCTTATTCCAAAAAATAGACAAAATGTAATCAAATGCTTATGAAGCAAAATACCATGTTATACAATCTCATAAGTTTTGTTTGCTTATATTGGACCTAATGGAGCTGCTTCAGCAGGGCGATGGATGATTTTCTGTACCTAACTCGTGGGACCACTTGCTCTGATTTTTCATTTTGTTACTATCCCAATAAGCTGTTGACATACCCAGGTCTCTAAAGTTCTAAGAAGAATGCAGAAGGGTAAAATGAGTCTGCAATGCCACATCAGATGTATCTTTAGGTCTGATATTAAATACACTTGAGAGTAAATTTCAAGTGAAGAAATAATATTATCTACAAATTCTGTGTTTTAGGATCTGTGCTCTTTTATTTCATTTAATTAATTTCTGATATGAATTTGCTTTATAACCCTATAACTCAGTACATTTCCTCAAGCTTTGAAATGCACTGTGTCTTTAAGCCTGTATTTTTAGAATTTAACA
Source organism: Homo sapiens (assembly GCF_000001405.40). Taxonomy (NCBI): domain Eukaryota; kingdom Metazoa; phylum Chordata; class Mammalia; order Primates; family Hominidae; genus Homo; species Homo sapiens. The sequence continues at coordinate 36,934,004 of NC_000023.11, read as the reverse complement.
AATCATATTAAGTGGCTCCTATGTACAAGCCCTTCCAAGGGACCTGCATGGCATGCTTGGGAGTGGTTCCATCTGTAGTCAGAGATGAGGACGCAGTTGACATTTGGATTCTTATGTGGGTTCCCTGGGAGTGTCATGCAGGGAGGAGCTGCACAGCTTCCAAACCGAAAGCCAGAAAATGAATATAGATGTGCAGTCCATGAACCTACATTTGAGGAAGCCGCACAACGAGGTCACTGTGAAAGGACAGAAAACAAAGGGCATGTCATGAGGTCATCATGGTGGAGAAGGGGTTCAAAGGATAAGCCTCGGGTCTCCTATTCCTCACTCCTCACCGGAAATTGCATCAACCTCAAGATGCTGTGGTTTTAGACCTTATGCAAGCGGCATACAGGAGAGTCCAGGGTGGCTGCATTCGTGAATAACTACTGAGTGAAAACAGGAGGAAAAAGGCGGGTACCTTCTACATAGGTCCTTAACAATTATGATCCAGTAGGCTGCTGAGATGTTATTTAACCCCACTCTACTCAATGCAGTAAGCACTGGTGATTCCAGGGCAGATGTCCCTATTCCCAAATACCTTTCACGTAAAATATCTCCAGCCTTCCCTTACAGCTTCTTACCCCACATTTTGCTGCCTATATAAAGTCCTGCATTATTATCTCCAGTAAAGAAGAGTACTTGAAGGTTCCTACTAACATGTAAAGATGTCAACCCACATGGAGTCACAGATTAGCATCCATTCAGATCTGGTACATAGGTGGTTTATTGTTTAGTGAGGCACTCATACCATCTAGAGAGAAGAGGACACAAGGCAGGGTCACTTCCTTTGGAATGGGAAGCAGGATATTTCACTCAGGTTCAGAGTAGCCAGGAGAATAAAGGACCTGACCCTCAAGGGTTGGGTGAGATGCTAGGAGAAGGGACAGAGCGGATCCTTGGTGGAATGAGACTCCCCAGAACCTCACTTGGGCCCGGCTCTTCCACAGTGATGTAGCTCACAGGGAGGCAGTCTAGCAGGGGTGTCCTTCTGAAGCAGAGGCAGTAAAAGGCAAACAAGTTGTATTTAACCTTGTCTCTGAGCCAGTAGGGATTTCTTACTTCTTTCCTTTTTCATTTCGTTTGATTCTGTTTCTCTTGTGTTCTTTTGTGATGAGAGTCTCCCCTCTCCACTCAGGAGGGATTTGAAAATTCACAAACAGGAGGTCATGTGAGGGTCTTAAGCTCACCTCCTTCAGAGTCACAGCCTGTGGCTTGTGTGAAATGGCCACATGGGACCTGAGTAACCTGGCCCTGAAATGACACCTGCTCATCTTGGATTCCACTGTGAGGAGAAGTTATGAGGCAAAGCAAAACGTGAGAGAATTGTCCTTACATTGGGTCTTCTTAGGAAATATATTTAGTGTATCTTAAGAGAAAAGGAAGACATTTGAACTTCATGTCTATAACTAGATGCAGTCTTTTCAAGTTATGACTTGCCATATAACCATTATTTGGTCCTTTTATGGTGAAACAAAAAATTTTAATGCAGATGCTATATTTTTTAAAAGTTCCCTATTAAAGTTAATAGAATAACATTGAGTTAATTCCTGCACTGAAGTTGCCAAGTGTTGACATTCTGCTTGGCACATCCCTGCTATGATCTTATGAAATGCATAGTTTTGGAATTGGTTGAGATGGTATTGGTTGGTGATGCAAACATATAGACATTTTATTTATAATTGTGATTTATAAATACTAACCTTCACTTAATTTTAAATGCAATTCATTTTTCTATTTGTTATATATAATTCTTAAAGCTACCTATTTATAAATAAAAAGCTACAAATTTATAATATAGTATCTGGATTTACAGACCCCTGACTCTTTGTTAACTTTTTGATTTATAAACAAGGGACCAAAAGTCTCAGTTGATAGATAAAAACTCTTCTGCTGGATTTATGCACTCTAACCAAGAGCCCTGGTGTAAATCATTGCCGAGTTTACAAATGTGTCCATTAGTTAGTGATTTGGCTGTGTGATCTGAAAACACCTTCTCTCTTAACTATTAAATTCCCATTTATCTTTTTAATACATGGTACATACTGGTAATTTGTTACTACCAAGAGCTGATTTATTAGAACACTGTAATACATTTTATAACATAAATTTTAAAGGTTTTGAATTAGATACACCATATTCTTGAAACTCCATGGCTGAAAAACAATTATCAGAAGGAAAAATTAAATTTTACATCTAACATCCTTGAAAACAAAACATAGAGTGCTGGCCATAAGAATATTTGTCTTTTGTTTCTATACTATCTCCCCATCCCCTGTATTAGAAGTTTCTTTTTTAAACAAGTGTGTGCAATTGTTGGCTGGACCTAAGCAGACTTCCAAGGGAAGATAAGTACTAGTGCTTGACCTGGACATATTGTTGTGATTGAAACCGCCTTTGCAAAATTATGACTGAGACAGTAAAAGAGATCTAACTTAATTGACTCCATCTTGCTTCTAACCTCCAAGCTGTCTTTGTGGATTCCTGGGCATAGGCTGAACTAACCATGGGAGAAACTCAGTTTATAGTTTATAGTTTAAAACAAAGATGATAACAGCCCTTCCCCAAAGCAGACCTCCCTCTTGCCTGGGACTAAACTGCCTTTGTAGGACTAACGTTAGTCACAAGAGTAGAAATTATGGTTTAGGAGTCATGCAGCTGGAGGCTACAAGATTCTGACCCTCCCTAAACTGCTAGGAAGATCGGTGCTTGAAATATTTTGCAGACCTTGCACTTGATGTATCAGCTGGCACCACCCAGATCAATAAACTGGCTCATCTGATCTTGTGGCCCTCACCTAGGAACTGACTCAGTACAAGAAGACAACTTCCTTATGATTTCATCCCTGACCAGTCAGCACTCCTGGCTCACTGGCTTCCCACCACCCACCAAGTTGTCCTTAAAAACTCTGCTCCCTGAATGCTTGGAGAGACTGATCTAAGTAATAATAAAACTATGGTCTCCTGCACAGCCAGCTCTGTGTGAATTAGTCTTTCTCTATTGCAATTCCCCTGTCTTGATGAATTGGCTCTGTCTAGGCAGCAGGCAAGGTGAACTCCTTGGGCAGTTACATGATTACCATGTACTAAGCCCCTTGTTGAATTTTGGGAAGCCTGCATGGTTTCATGGTGGTTCTCTCTTCCATTCGTGCTTTTCACACTCTGGTGCATATTTGCATTTAAATACCAGCTTGGGGAGCTCAGAGCACTTGTTGAGCAGCCTATTAATTACATATCTGTTAAAGTTATTTATTGTTTCCCTAGCTGAAGGATTTATGTTTATCAATGTAATGCTTTTGCCTACTAGTGACTGAACTACTGGCCACTGTCAGTGAAAATTGCTCCTACAGAGGATTACAGCAAGGCCTGAGGGCACTGAATAAGGATTAGCATTTTAGAATAATAATGTTCTCAAAGTGTTATGTACAATTAAAAAAGAATGATGTTCCTCTTTAGTATATCAAATTTGGCAGATCTGTGTGGCTCACTTTGCTTCTTAGGTTCATGTGGTTCACATTTGTACTTTGCTTCCCCTGAAGGTGATATATTTTGTCAAATGGTGATATTTACTGGGAATTTTTTCTTACTGAATTTTCAAAAGCTGAAAGCTATCTAAAGTGGGCAATTAAAGGCATAGATATTCCTTTGGGTGGACTAGCAAAACAATAGACAGAAATTATTACCTTGTAATCTCTATCTAGTCCTGAACTTTGTAGGAATCTTGAGCATTTGGGGCAAGAAAAAATGATGGGTGGCTAATTTGCTGTAAAGCAGTTGGGATTGACCATAAAGTATTTTTTCATAAAGGATTTTTTAACAATACAATTGTTAGAAGAAAGTAGTCCATATATTTTTTTTAAAGACCTCCTTTGAGACTATCTGTGAGCATAGCACAGGGATTGAGGTTGGACACATGAAGGAACTAACACAATTTCTGGAAGTTCAGCATGGTCTGTGTGCTCGAGGGCAAGTCATGGTAGCAAGGCGAGATTAAAATTCAGAGAAGTAAATAAACTACATAATATTTTTCCTGGAAATTCTGGTGCTTCGGCTAGATTTCCCTGCTGAGTAGATGAGTGAGTCACTGCAAGTCACATCAAACTTTCAGAGTCTTAATTCATCTACTTTATATAGAGTGAACTTGATTAACAAACATTTATTGAACACCTATTATTTTCCAGGTACTGTTGAAATTATTGGGAAATGAGTGATCATTTAAACTACAGTCCAACTTCATTGAATTAAAGTCCATAAGAGAAGGCAGACATTTTTACAACTAACAAGATCACATATGTATTAGAAAAGTTTTTTTTTTGTTTGTTTGTTTGTTTGTTTGTTTTGAGATGGAGTCTTGCTCTGTCACCCAGGCTGGAGTGCAGTGGCGCAATCTCAGCTCACTGTAACCTCTGCCTCCCGGGTTCACGCCATTCTCCTGCCTCAGCCTCCCTAGTAGCTGGGACTACAGGTGCCCACCACCATGCCTGGCTAATTTTTTGCATTTTTAGTAAAGACGGGGTTTCACCATGTTAGCCAGGATGGTCTTGTTCTCCTGACCTCGTGATCCACCTGCCTCCCCCTCCCAAAGTGCTGGGATTATAGGCGTGAGCCACCATGCCCGGCCATAAAAGTTTTTTAAAAAAAATACTGTAGAAGAGGAAGGAAAAACTCTATGCTTTCTTTAGTCCTGCAGTATTTGTGGTTCTTGGTGTGGCTAGCAAGTGACAGAGAAGGAGAAAATACCAATTCTTTGAGAACAACTTTGAGAACAAAGAATTGGTATTTTGTACTGTCTGATGGCTCCCTGAGAGATAATCTCAGGGGCTTGCTTTTGTTTTGCTTTCCCAATGGAGTTCCCTCAGCACTGGATTGGCTTTCCAGTAGGCATTTATCAAAAGCATTTAAAGTCCATGTCCACATGAGATGAGGGATAACAGATAGAGCAAGCAGCAGGCAGGCCGAAAAGCCTGGAAAGGGAGAGACTGCTGAAGGAGATACATGGGAGAATAATGGCTTTGAAAAGGTGCCACCTATATTGGAGAATGTAAAAGTCATACACACACTAAGGGCTGGATACATGTTCAGAAAAGACTTGCAAAAACCCTAAGCTATCACCTTCGGCTGGCATTTAGGTTCCATGAAGATAAAGTGAAGGCAAAGGCAGAGTTGTAAATGGCTTGGCTAAGCATTGAAATGGTGACCACAATGGAGCAAATACGCAAAAACTGGGAGAGTATTAAATTTTTTTTTGGCTACAGGTGTTTAAGGAAATCCCTATAAAATTATTAGCTTACCACAAGTTTAATAGAACAGAGGCCTCAATAATAAAGTGAAAAATAATGCAATCTTTGCAAAAATAGCCTAGAAAAGTCACTAAAAATACTACCCAAAACAACAACCACAACTGACAAGAAGCAACAACAAATCATGGGAAGGAAGTAAAATCTGATTTCTATAGTTACCACATTATAATATTTAAAAAGTATTAGCAAAAAATTATAAGGCACACAAAGAAACAAAAGTATGGTTCATTCCCAGGAAAATAAGAAATTAATAGAAACTATCTCTGGGGAAGCTCAGACATTGGACATACTAGACAAAGACTTTAAATCAACTATCTTAAGTGTGCTCAGAGAACTAAAGAAAACCATGGGCAAAGAAATAACAGAAACCAGGAGAATAATGGCTTGATAAATACAGAATATCAATAACAAGATAGAAATTATTTAAAAAAATAGAAATTTTGGAGCTGAAAAATCTAATAATGGAAATGAAAATTCTGTAGAGAAGCTCAGCAGCAGATTTGAGTGGGCAGAAGAAAGAATCAGCAAGTCTGAAGATAGGACATTTGAGATTAACCAGTCTGAGGAAAAGAAGGAAAATAAAATATGAAGACATTTGAAACGAGCCTAAGGAGCCATATGGGATTCCATCAAGCATACCAACACACACATTATGGGAATCTCAGAAGGAGGGGAAAGAGATCAATGGTCATAAAGAATATTTGAAGAAATATTGCCCAAAAACTACCCAATATTGATGAAAGACATAAATCTACACATTCAAAAAGCTCAACAGATTCAAAATAGGATAATCTCAAATACATTCATAATAAGACATAAAATAAATACATTGTCAAAAGCCAAAGAGAAAGAGAAAATTTGGAAACAGTAAACAAACAAAAAACCATGACACATAATGGAACTTCCATAAGATCAACAACTGATTTTTCATCAGAAACCATACACATCAGTAGGAAGTAGGATAATGTATTTAAGGACTGAAAGAAAAAAATACCTGTCAACCAAGAATTATCTATTTGACAAAACTGTCCTTCAAAAATGAAGGAGAAATTAAGACATTCTTATATAAATTAGAGCATGACAGTTAATTGTTAATAGACCCAACCCATAAAAAATGCTGAAGGGAGTTTTTTAGGCTGAAATAAAAGGAAATTAGATAGCAACTTAAAGTCATATGAATAAATTATTAAAACAAGTGTTATTGTATTTTTGGTTTGTAAATGCTTTTTTGCTCTTATATAGCAATAAGTATAAATCTGTGCTAATGGGGATATAATTGATAAAAATGGAATTTGTGACAATAACAACATAAAAGGGGGGCAGAGCTATATAAGGACAGACATTGTATATGCCACTGAAAGTTTTTGTATACTATACAAGCAAAGTTGTTATTAATTGAAACTAGATTGTTATAAATTTCAGATGTCAATTATAATACCCCATGTAAGCACTAAAAAAATAACTAAAATATATAAAGACAAGGAAATGAGAAAACAATCAAGTCACTACAATAAAAATTAATTAAATACAAAAGAACATAGTAATGGAGGAATTGAGGCACAAAAAAGAAAAAAATATTGACAGGAAATACTATAAGAGTAGAAGGAACTCCTATCTTAGCAGTAATTACATAAAATGTAAATTGATTAAACTGTCTAATTACAAGGCAGATTGGCACAATGGTTGAAAAATACAATTCATCTCTATGCTGTGTGGAAAAGACTCACATTAGATTGACACAAATAGTGATTTCTTTTCCTTTGGATAAATACCCAGTAATGGCATTGCTGGATCATATGGTAGTTTTTTAGTTTTTTGAGAAACTATTTTTAGATTTTTGAGAGACCGCCACACTATTTTCCATAATGGCTGTACTAATTTACACTCCCACCAACAGTGTATAAGAGTATTCTTTTCTCCATGTCCTCACCAGCATTTGTTATTTTTTGTCTGTTTGGTAAAAGCCATTTTAACTAGGGTGAGATGACACTTCATTGTGGTTTTGATCTGCATTTCCCCGATGATCAGTGATGTTGAGCATTTTTTCATATACCTTTTGGACATTTTATATGTCTTCTTTTGAAAAATGTTTACAAAGATTCATTGCCCACTTTTTAATGGGATTATTTGTGTTTTTTTGCTATTGAGTTGTTTCCATTTTTTGTATATTTTGGATACTAGTCCCTTGTCAGATGAATAGTTTTAAAATATTTTTCCCCATTCTACAGGTTGTCTCTTCACTCTGTTGATTGTTTCCATTGCTGTGCAGAAGGCTTTTTAGTTTGATATAGTCTTATTTGTCTATTTTTTATTTGTTGCCTTTGCTTTTGAAGTCTTACTCATAAAATTTGTGCCTATACTAGTGTCCTGGAGTGCTTTGCCTGTTTTCTTTTAGTAGTTTTATAATTTTTGGTCTTATATTTAAGTATTTAATCCATTTTAAGTTAATTATTGTGTATAGTGATAGAGATACCTGTATTCCCATGTTTACTGCAGCACTATTCCTAATGGCTAAGGTATGAAATTAACCTAAATGCCCATCAACAGACAAATGGAAAAGGAAAAGGAAAATGTGGTGTATATATAAAAATTAGAATATTATTTAGCCATAAAAAAGAATAAAATCCTGGCATTCATGGCAACATGGATAAGCTTGGAGGATATTATGGTAAGCAAAACAAATTAGGCACAGAAACATAAAACCACATGTTCAAACTCATATGTGGGAGCTAAATAATCATTGAGTTCATGGAAGCAGAGTATAATTGTGGTATTAGAGGCTGAAAAGGGTAGTGGCAAGGGGAGAATAAGGAGAGGTTGGTTAACAGATACAAAATTACGGCTAGACAGGATGAATGAGTTCTGGTCTTCTGCAGCACTGTAGGGTGAATATAGTTAAGTCTAATTTATTGTAATTCTCAAAAAGCTAGAAGAGAGAATTTTGAATGTTTATATTACACATAGAAATAATACATGTTTGGGGAGATGACTATGCTAATTATCCTGATTTGATCATTATACATTGTAGACACATATTAAAATATCATTCTGTATCCCATAAATATGTCCAATTGTTATGTGTCAGCTAAAAGTAAAAGGGGAGAAGAGACAAAAACAGGTTGAACATGAAAGAAAGGTAAAATGTATACCAAGGAAATATAAAATAGGGCTGAAGTGGCTATAATAAAATCAGACCAAATAGAATTTAAGTAAGTTTTTGTAAGAGACATAGGACACTATATATGATAAAAGTGTCAACACTTCAAGAATATGTGACAGTTAATTATATGCTCACCTAACAACAGAGCTGCAAAATATACAAAGGCAAACTGACATAATTGGATGGTTAAATACAGTTCACTGATAATAGAGATTTCAAAAGTATACTTTCAATAATGTGCAGAACAACTCCTAGATGATCAATAAGTAAAGAGAGTAATTAGCCAACATTGTAAACAAGTAGTCCTAACATATAGTGGAAAATGTACAGTCTTCTCAAGTTCCCATGGAACATTTCTCAGGATAGATCATAGCTAGGCAATAGAGCATACCTAAATGGTTTTAAAATGATAGAAATAATGCAAAGTACATTTCAGACCACACTGAAATGAAATTAGAAATCAATAAGAGAAGGAAATTTTGAAAGTTTGCAAATGTACGGAAATTAGACAATATAGTTCTAAATAATCAATGTTGTTTCTGAGAGGAGAGGATGATCAGTGCAGGTATTTTTATTTATTTTTATATATTTTTAGATGGAGTATCACTCTGTAGCCCAGGCTGGGGTGCAGTGGCATGAGTTCGGCTCACTGCAACCTCTACCTCCTGAATTCAAGCAATTCACTTGCCTTGGCCTCCCAAGTAGCTGGGACTACACGCGTGTGGCACCACGCCCAGCTAATTTTTTGTATTTTTAGTAGAGACGGGGTTTCACCTTGTTAGCCAGGATGGTCTCAATCTCCTGACCTCGTGATCCGCCCGCCTCAGCCTCCCAAAGTGCTGAGATTACAGGCATGAGCCACTGCGCCCGGCAGATCAGTGCAGACTTCTATTCAGCCATCTTGCTCTGCCTCCTAATGAATAATTTTAAATGCTCATTACTATTTTTTTAATTTGCAGAAAGCAGTGAATTTCTCATATTCACTTGGCAGGTTTATTAGCTATTATTGTTCATTTTTTTTTCTAAAGAAGACATCTGGTCAGGTGTGGTGGCTCATGCCTATAATCCCAGCACTTTGGGAGGCTGAGGTGAGTGGATCACCTGAGGCCTGGAGTTCGAGACCAACCTGGCCAACATGGTGAAACCCTGTCTCTACTTAAAAAAAAAAAAAAAAAAAAGATTAGCTGGGCTTGGTGGTGGGCGCCTATAATCCCAGCTACTTGGGAGGCTGAGGCAGGAGAATACCTTGAACCCGGGAGGCAGAGGTTGCTGTGAGCCAAGATCACACCATTGCACTCCACCCTGGGTGACAAGAGTGAAACTCTGTCTCAAAAAAAAAAAAAAAAAAAGAAGCCATCTGCCTGCTGAATTACTTTTCATAATTTCAGCAATTATGATTTTTTAAATTAGGATAAAAGTTACATAACATAAAACTCACCATTGTAACCATTTTAAAGTCTACAATTCAGTGCTGTTTAGTGTATTCACAATGCTGTACAATCATCATCGATATCTAATTCAAGAATGTTTTCCTTACACCAAAAGGAAACCCTCTGTCCATTAAGCAGTCAGTAGAGGAGAGGGAAGAGTAAAGAGGAATTTGTTTTGCAACTTGGATACCAGCTTAGCCACAGTAGGATAGGGCACCAGGCAGAGACCTGAGGCCCTTATTCTAGGCCCTATATCCTGGATGACATTTCTAGACACACCTTAGGCCAGAAGGGGACCCCCTGCCTTAAAGAAAAGGACCTAGTCCTGGTACGATTCATCACCTGGTAACTAAAGAGCCCTTGGGCTCTGAATAGTCAGCAGTGGTAGCCAGGCAGTACTTGTCATGGGTCTCAGGTGAGATTCAGAAATGTACTGGTTTCAGGTGTGACCCAGCACATTCCCAGCTGTGGTTGCTATATGAAGAGACTCCTGCTTGAGAAAAGCAGAGGAATGACTAAAGAAGACTTTGTCTTGCAGCTTAGGTATAAGCTCAGCCACAGGAGGGTAGAGCACCAAGTGGTCTGTTGGGGTCCCTGATTCTGGACCTTGCCTCTTCTGGACCTGTCCTGGCATTTCTGGACCTGTCTTTGGCCAGTGGGGAGCCCACTTCCCCGAATAGAGAGTCTGAGGCCTGGCAGCATTCACAACAAGCTGGATGAAGATCCCTGAGGACTTGAGTGAACATCAACAGTAGCCTGGCAGTACTTGCCATGGGCCTGGAGCAGTGGTGACCATGGGGGAGAGACTCTTATGTTTGTGCAAATGGGGAGGAAGAGGGGGAAGGACTTTGTTTTGTGGCTTGGGTGCCAACCCAGTCACAGTAGAATGGAGCACCAGGTAGATTCCTAATGTTTCCCACTCCAGAAGCTGTCTCCTGGATGGTATCCCTGAACCCACCCAGGGCTGGTGGAAACTTGCCACCCTGAAAAGAAGGAAATAAGCCTGTCAGGCATTGCCACCTGCTGATTGTAGAGCCTTAAGGACTGGAGCAAACATAGGCAGTAGCCAGGCAGTGGTTAGTGTGGGTCTTGTATAAGACCCAGTTTTGTGTTGGCTTCAGGTCTGACCCAGCACAGTCCCAGCGGTGGTGGCAATAGGGATACTTTTGTCACCACTCCCCCAGCTCCAAGCAGCTCAGCACAGAGAAAGAGAGAAACTCTGTTTGGAAACAAGTAAGGGGAGAGAACAAGAATCTCTGCATGATAATCTAGAGAATTCTTCAGGATCTTATCCAAGACCACCAAGGCAGTACCTCTATAACTCTGCAAGAGCCATTGCATTACTGGATTGGGGTGCCCTCTAATGCAGATATGGCTGCAGTGATCAGAAACCTAGATTGCAACACCCAAGTCCCTTCAAATACCTAGAAAGCTTTCCCCAGAAGGACAGCTACACAGAAGTCCAGACTGCGAAGACTACAATAAATACCAAAGTTTTCAATGCCCAGACACTGATGAATATCTACAAGCATCAAGACCATCCAGGAAAATATACCCTTATATAATGCATTAATAAGGCACCTGGGACCAATTCTGAAGAGACAGAGATATATGACCTTTCAAAGAATTCAAAATAGCCATTTGAGGAAACTCAACAAAATTCAAGATTAACATAAGAAGGTATTCAGAATCTTATCAGATAAATTTAACAGAGAAATTGAATAATTAGAAAGAAGCAAGGAGAAATTCTGGAATTGAAAAATGCAATTGGCATATTGAAGAACGCATCAGAGTCTCTTACCAGCAGAATAGACCAACTGGAAGAAAGAATTAGTGAGCTTCAAGACAGACTATTTGAAAATACACAGTCAGAGAAGACAAAAGACAAAATAATAAAAATAAATGAAGTATGCCTACATCATCTAGAAAATAGCCTCAAAAGGGGAAATCTAAGAGATATTGGCTTTAAAGAAAAAGTAGAAAGAGACATAAGGGTATAAAGTTTATTCAAAGGGATAATAACGGAGAACATACCAAACCTAGGGAAAGATATCAGCATTCAAGTACAAGAAGGTTAGAGAACAAGAATATGTAAACAAAATAAGACTACTCTAAGACTTTTAATAATACATCTTTCAAATGTGAAGGATCAAGAAAGGATCCCAAAAGCAGCAAGAGAAGAGAAAGAACGAACACAAAATAGATCTCTAATACATCTGGTAGCAGACTTTTCAGTAGAAACCTTGCAGGCCAGGAAAGAGTGGTATGATATAAAGTGTTAAAGGAAGAAAAACATTTACCCTAGAATAATATATCCAACAAAAATATCCTTCAAATAGGAAGGGAAAATAAAGACTTTCTCAGGTAAACAAAAGATCAGGTATTTTATCAACACTGGAGCTGTACCACAAGAAATGCAAAATAGAGTTCTTCAATCTAAATAAAAAAGAACATTAATGAGCAATAAGAAGTCATCTGAAGGTGAAAAAATCATTGGTAGTAGCAAGTACACAAAAAACACAGAATATTATTTACTGCAATTGTGGTGAGTAAACTACTCATATGTTGAGTAGAAAGAATAAATGATGAATCAATCAAAAGTAATAACTACAGTAGCTTTCTAAGATATAGTACAATACAAATAGAAACAACAAAATGTTAAAAAGTGGGAGGATAAAGTTAAAGAGCAGATTTTTAGGAGTTTTCTCTATGCTTGTTTGTTTTTTATGTAATCAGTGTTAAATTGTCATCAGCTTAAAATAATGGGTTATGAGATAGTATTTGCAAGCCTCATGGTAGCCTCATACCAGAAAATACATATCAGACACTCAAAAAATAAAAAGCAAGGAACTAAATCATATCAGCAGAGAAAATCTCTTCACTAAAAGGAAGACAGGAAGAAAAGAGAAAACAAAGATAATGCCACAAAATAATCAGAAAACAAATAAGAAAATGATATGACCAAACTCTCCAATCAGAAGATACAGAGTGGCTGAAGGGATAGAAAAACAAGACCCAATGATTTTTTTGCCTACAAGAAACATACTTCACCTATGAAGACACACAGACTGAAAATAAAAGGATGGAAAATGATATTCAATGGAAACAAAAAGAGATCATGGGCAGCTATACTCATATCAGTCAAAATAGATTTCAAGAAAAAGCTATAAAAAAGACAAAGAAAATCACTACATCATTAAAAAGGAGTCAATTCAGCAAGAGGATATAATGATTTTAAGTATATATGTACCCAACAGGGGAGCAGCCAGATATATAAAGGAAATATTATTAGAGCTAAAGAGAGGGATAGGCCCCAATACAAGACTAGCTGGAGACTTTAACACCCCACTTTCAGCATTGGACAGATCTTCCAGACAGAAAATCTGTAAATAAACATCAGATTTAATCTACACTATAAGAACAAATGTACCTAATAGATATTTACAGAACATTTCATTCAGTGGTTGCAGAATACACATTCTCAACACATGGATCATTGTCAAGGATATACCATATGCTAGACCACAAAACAAGTCTTACAAAATTAAAAAAAATTGAAATTATATCCAGTATCTTATCTGACTATAATGGAATAAAACTAGAAATCAATAACAAGAAGAATTTTAGAAACTATACAAACACATGGAAATTAAACAATATGCTCCCAAATGACCAGTGGATCAATGAAGAAATTAAGAAAGAAATTAAAACATTTCCTTAAATGATAATGGAAAGACAAAATACCAAAACCTATCATATACAGTGATAGCATTAATAAGAGGAAAGTTTATAGCTATAAGCACCTATATCAAAAAACTAGAAAAACATCAAATGAACAACCAAATGATGCATCTTAAAAAATTAAAAATGAGAAAGCCAACCTAACCTTAAATTAGTAGAAGAAAACAAGTTATAATAATCACACAACGAATAAAGTTGATACAAAGAAAACAATACAAAAGATCAAGAAAATGAAAAGCTGGTTTTCTTAAAAGAAAAAAAATTGACAAACCTTTGGCCAGTGTAACTTAGAAGAAAAGATAGAAGACCAAAATAAATCAAATCAGAGATAAAAATGGAGACATTACAATTGGTACTACAGAAATTCAAAGGATTATTAGTGGCTATTATGAGCAACTATATGCCAATAAGTTGGAAAACTTAGAAAAAAATTAATAAATTCTTAGAGGCATTCAATCTACCAAAATTTAACCCCAAAGAAATCCAAAAGCTAAAGAGGCCTATAATAAGTAATGAGATCGAAGCCATAATTCAAAGTCTTCCAGCAAATAAAAGCCTGGACCTGATGGCCTTTCTGCTGATTTTTACCAAACATTTAAAGGAGAAGGAAGTATTACCCTAATAGCAAAACCAGACAAAGACACATCAAAAAAGTAAAACTGAGTTCAATTCCTGAATATCCATGTTAATTTTCTGTCTTGATGATCTATCTAATATTGACAGTGAGGTGTTAATGTCTGCCGCCATTATTGTGTGGGAGTCTAAGTCTCTTTGTAGGTCTCTAAGAACTTGTTTTATGAATCTGGGTACTCCTGTATTGGGTGCATATATATTTAGAATAATAAACTCTTCTTGTTGAATTTATCCATTTACCATTATGCAATGTCCTTCTTTGTCTTTTTTGATTTTTGTTGGTTTAAAGTCTATTTTGTCAAAAACTAGGATTTCAACCCCCGCTTTTGATAAAAACCCTAAAAAAGTTGGGTATTGAAGAAACATACTTCAATACAATAACAGCCATATATGACAGACCCACAGCTAGTATCAAACTCAATGGATGAAAAAATGAAAGCCTTTCCTCTAAGATCTGGAAACTGACAAGGATACCCAATTTCACCACTGTTATTCAACATAGTACTAAAAGTTCTAGCTATAACAATCAGACAAGAGAAAAAAAAAAGGGCATCCAAATTGGAAATGTAGAAGTAAAATTATCCTTGTTTGCAGATGATACGATCTTCTATTTGGAACTGACAAATTCAGTAAAGTTGCAGGACACAAAATCAACCTACAAAAATCAGTAACAAAAACAAATCTGTACATCTACAATGAACTCATTTTCAACAAAGGTGCCATGAACATACATTGAAGAAACGATAGTCTCTTCGATAAATGGTGCTGCAAAAACTAGATATCCATATGCAAAGTGTGAAAGTAGAACCCTATCTCTCACCATATACAAAAATCATGAATGCAAGACTTAAATCTAAGACCTCAAACCATGAAACTCTTAAAAGAATGCATTGGGGAAAGTCTCCAGGATATTGGACTGGGTAAAGGTTTCTTGAGTAATACCCCACAAGTACAGGCAACCAACATAAATAGACCAATGGGATTTCATCAAGTTAAAAAAGCTTCTGCACAGCAAAGGAAACAATGAAAAAAGTGAAGAGACAACCTAAAGATTGGGAGGAAATATTTGCAAAAGATCCATCTGACAAGGGATTAATAACCAGGATATATAAGGAACTCAAACAATTCTATAGGAAAATAAACTAATAATCCAATTTAAAAACAGGCTAAAGATCTAAATAGACCGTTCTCAAAAGATGAGATACAAATGGCAATCAGGTATATCAACATCAGTGATAATCAGCTAAATACAATGTAAAATTACATTGAGTTATCATCTCACCCCAGTTAAAATGTATTTTATCCAAAAGACAGGCAATAATGAATGCTCACAAGGATGTGGAGAAAAGGGAACCCTTGTACACTGTTGGTGGGAATGTTAATTAGTACAGCCACTATAGAGAACCATTTGGAGGTTCCTCAAAAAAACTAAAATTAGAACTACTATATGATCCAGCAATCCCCCAGCTAGGTATATACCCAACGGAAAGGAAATCAGTACATTGAAGAGATATCTGCACTCCCACGTTTATTGCAGCAGTACTTACTATAGCCAAAATTTGGAAGCAACTTAAGGGTTCATCAACAGATAAATAGAAAAGAGTGGTACATATACACAAGGAAGTATTTATTATTCAGCCATAAAAAAAGAATGAGATCTTATCATTTCCACCACCATGGTTGGAACTGGAGGACATTATGTTAAATGAAATTAGGCATAGAAAAACAAACTTTGTATGTTCTCACTCATTTGTGGGAGCTAAAAATTAAAACAGTTGAACTCATGGAGATAGAGAGTAGAAGGATGGGTACCAGAGGCTAGGAAGGGTAGTTGTAGGGAAAGAGGTGATAGTTAATGGGTTATAAAATATAGTTAAATAGAATAGGATCTAGTATTTGATAGCACAACAGAGTGACCACAGTCACCAATAATTTATTGTATATTTTATAATGACTAAAAGTGTATAAGTGGATTGTTTGTAACACGAAGAAAGGATAAATGCTTGAGGTGATGCCCCATTTATCCTGATGTGATTATTATGCATTGTATGTCTGTATCAAAATATTTTATGTACCCTAAAAATATATATGCCATGTTCCCACAAAAAATAAAAATAAAAAAGTTTGCACCTAAAAATAAATAAATATATAAGTAAAATTATTCATTATATCAATGCTCAAAATGAATAAATTAAGCTCATCTTATTTTACTAGAATTTAATTCTATGTATGTGCTATCTTTTTACACTACCTTTCCCATGAAGCCTACATAACTACAGATATATGTGAAAAGTGGCAGCTTTCTCCCTTCCATTAGCATTTCATTTTACTACAGTCATCTTGTGTACCCTACACCTGACCCAGTGACATTGGATTGAATTCATGGCCATTGCTCTACTGATGAAAATCAAGACAGGCTTGTAAAGAGAATGATGTCCACCCTCAGATAAGATATTGCTGGCATAGGTATGTGCTTGGGTTTGGATACGTCTTGTTCAACACTTTAATAAGTGAGTTGAATGAATTCTGTATTTATTAAATAATGGATGATGTAGAAATGGAAGAGTCAGCAAATATGATAGAAGACAGAATCAAGTGTGAAAAGATCTTGACAATCTGGAAATATGAGCTGAAGTTGGCAAGGTGATGCATTTAGGAGTCGTATTAAGTTATTCATTCAGAAGTAAAATACAACATTATACCTACACACACAAATAGGTTGGGGATACCCAGCTAAGTGGCAGTTTATTTTAAAAGTATAACAACAGAAGCAGCAGCATCAAATAACAAACAAAAACACAAAACAACAAAAACCAAACAAGTTTTAGTTGACATCAAGCTCAGTAAGAATCCCTAGTCTCAAGTCCACTGCCATGAAACTCAGTTTTGGAAAACGTGATGAAGCTATGTAGCAAAGTTGCTTATGTGGGATAAAATACATTGTAGAAATGCTCCAGTAGGAAGTTCTTGCATTCCTTTTGATGTATGGCCTCATAGATTGCGTATACCTTATTTGTCTCAGGGAAGGCGGCAGCATTGAATACAAAAATATAAGAAATTAACACTGGAAGCTCTGATTACTTCTCTCTTTTCCATAGTTTTCTCATTTATTGAAATGCTTCCCTTTATTTATTTAAAATTGAAACTAATAATAGCCAGCTTCCAGCATTTGTATAGGAATAAATTTGGTACAGAGGGCAAAATTACATTTTTTAGTTTTCAAAAAGTACTACCCAATGATAATTTTATTTTATTTTTTATTTTTATTTTATTTTATTTTATTTTTTAAAATTATTATTATACTTTAAGTTTTAGGGTACATGTGCACAACGTGCAGGTTTGTTACATATGTATACATGTGCCATGTTGGTGTGCTGCACCCATTAACTCATCATTTAGCATTAGGTATATCTCCTAATGCTATCCCTCCCCCCTCCCCCCACCCCACAAGAGCCCCTGGTGTGTGATGTTCCCCTTCCTGTGTCCATGTGTTCTTATTGTTCAGTTTCCACCTATGAGTGAGAACATGTGGTGTTTGGTTTTTTGTCCTTGCGATAGTTTGCTAAGAATGATGGTTTCCAGCTTCATCCATGTCCCTACAAAGGACATGAACTCATCATTTTTTATGGCTGCATAGTATTCCATGGTGTATATGTGCCACATTTTCTTAATCCAGTCCATCATTGTTGGACATTTGGCTTGGTTCCAAGTCTTTGCTATTGTTAATAGTGCCGCAATAAACATATGTGTGCATGTGTCTTTATAGCAGCATGATTTATAATCCTTTGGGTATATACCCAGTAATGGGATGGCTGGGTCAAATGGTATTTCTAGTTCTAGATCCCTGAGGAATCGCCACACCGACTTCCACAATCGTTGAACTAGTTTACAGTCCCATCAACAGTGTAAAAGTGTTCCTATTTCTCCACATCCTCTCCAGCATCTGTTGTTTCCTGACTTTTTAATGATTGCCATTCTAACTGGTGTGAGATGGTATCTCATTGTGGTTTTGATTTGCATTTCTCTGATGGCCAGTGATGATGAGCATTTTTTCATGTGTTTTTTGGCTGCATAAATGTCTTCTTTTGAGAAGTGTCTGTTCGTATCCTTCGCCCACTTTTTGATGGGGTTGTTTGTTTTTTTCTTGTATATTTGTTTGAGTTCATTGTAGATTCTGGATATTAGCCCTTTGTCAGATGAGTAGGTTGCAAAAATTTTCTCCCATTCTGTAGGTTGCCTGTTCACTCTGATGGTGGTTTCTTCTGCTGTGCAGAAGCTCTTTAGTTTAATTGATCCCATTTTCAATTTTGGCTTTTGTTGCCATTGCTTTTGGTGTTTTAGACATGAAGTCCTCGCCCATGCCTATGTCCTGAATGGTATTGCCTAGGTTTTCTTCTAGGGTTTTTATGGTTTTAGGTCTAACATTTAAGTCTTTAATCCATCTTGAATTAATTTTTGTATAAGGTGCAAGGAAGGGATCCAGTTTCAGCTTTCTACATATGGCTAGCCAGTTTTCCCAGCAACATTTATTAAATAGGGAATCCTTTCCCCATTGCTTGTTTTTCTCAGGTTTGTCAAAGATCAGATAGCTGTAGATATGTGGCGTTATTTCTGAGGGCTCTGTTCTGTTCCATTGATCTATATCTCTGTTTTGGTACCAGTACTATGCTGTTTTGGTTACTGTAGCCTTGTAGTATAGTTTGAAGTCAGGTAGCGTGATGCCTCCGGCTTTGTTCTTTTGGCTGAGGATTGACTTGGCAATGCGGGCTCTTTTTTGGTTCCATATGAACTTTAAAGTAGTTTTTTCCAATTCCGGTTAGAAAGTCATTGGTAGCTTGATGGGGATGGCATTGAATTTATAAATTAATTTGGGCAGTATGGCCATTTTCACAATATTGATTCTTTCTACCCATGAGCATGGAATGTTCTTCCACTTGTTTTTGTCCTCTTTTATTTCCTTGAGCAGTGGTTTGTAGTTCTCCTTGAAGAGATCCTTGACATCCCTTGTAAGTTGTATTCCTAGGTATTTTATTCTCTTTGAAGCAATTGTGAATGGGAGTTCACTCATGATTTGGCTCTCTGTTTGTCTGTTGTTGGTGTATAAGAATGCTTGTGATTTTTGCACATTGATTTTGTATCCTGAGACTTTGCTGAAATTGCTTATCAGCTTAAGGAGATTTTCGGCTGAGACGATGGGGAACCCAATGATAATTTTAAATCATATCTTTTCATCGGTTCATCCTTAATGGGAGCATATAAGTATGTTAGCACTCTGGAAAATAGAGCTTGGAAACTCATACTGTTGGGGGTACATAATTTGACATAGACAACTTGTACCTATCCTTCAAATGTTTCAATGCACGTGTTTTGAGAAAGAAATTTCATTTTTTATTAATCTTTGCTATAGAAATACTGAAGCATCGTTACAAAAGCATATCTATCCCAGCATCTTTTGGTAACAGCAAGATATCGGGGAAAATTTAGATGAACATTAATAGGGAAGTAGTTCAGAATTATAATAAATTATGGCATGTTGACCCTATGCAATACTGTGTAGCTGTTGAGAAGAATGAGGTATACTGACAAGGTAAGATGTCCATAAAGAAAAGCATGTCACTAAAAAATGGATCCAATTTATGCAAAAATTAACTTTTATGAGTATAAATTTTATATATATATACACACACACATATATATTTGGGAGATAATTTTCCATGGGTCCCTTGCATTTTGCACACCTTGAATTAGCTTTTGTCCTAAACTATCTTTTCAAGGATGTTTGTATGGCGAACCACTTGAAAGACAGAAATATTGTCTCCTTCTGGGATAGGCAACAAAGGGCCTATTTGTTCACTATTCAGGATAATAAAGAATGTGTCTTTCTAGGGCAAGGATTAGGCAGATTTGTCAGCAGCCCACTTTAAAAGATTATGGTATCCTTAAGTCAGGTTCCTTTTATTTTTTTTAAAAAACCTTTTTAGTTGGCAAATAAAAATCACGTATATTTAACACCATGTACAATGGCTAAATCAAGCTAATTAACATATCCATTATCTTACATACTTAAATTTTTTTGTGGTGAGAACGCTTAAGATCTAATCTCTTAGCAATTTACAAAAATACAATATGCTGTTATAAACTATAGTCATCATGTTGTACAATAGATCTTTTGAACTTATTACTCCCATGTAACTGAAATTTTGTATCCTTTGTCCAACATCTATCCAATCCTCCCACTAAGATTCTAGGACCACCATTTTATTCTCTGTGTCTGTGAGTTTAACTGTTTAGATTCCACATATAAGTGAGCTCATGCAGTATTTGTCTTTCTGTGTCTTGGCTTATTTCACTTAACATAATGTCATCGAGTTTCATCTATGCTGTGTCAAATAACAGAATTTCTTCTTTTTAAAGGCTGACTAGTATTCTGTTGTACATATTTACCACATTTTCTCTATCCATTCAGCAGTTGATGGATATTTAGGTTGATTCCATATTTTGGCTATTGTGCATAATGCTGCAGTGAATATGGGAGTGAAAATATCTCTTCAACTTACTGATTTCATTTTCTTTGGATATATAAGCAGTAGTAGGATTGCTGGATCATATGGTAATTCTATTTTTAATTTTTTGATGAACCTCCATACTATTTTCCATAATTGCTGTGCTAATTTCCATTCCCACCAACATTGTACAATGGCTTTCTTTTCCTCATATTCTTCCAACACTTATGTTTCACCTTTTTGTTAGTAAGCATTCTAACAAATACAAGGTAATATTTCATTGTTTTAATTTGCATTTCTCTGATAATTAGGGATGTTGAGCATTTTTTCATGTCTGTTGGCCATTTGTATACCTTTTTTTTGAGAAATGTCTGTTCAGATCCTTTGCCCATTTTAAAATCGGGTTGTTTATTATTGAGTTGTTTGAGTCCCTTATATATTTTGGATATTAACCCTTTATCAGATGTATGCTTTGCAAAGATGTTCTCCCATTCTTTAGGTTGTCCCTTCACTCTGTTGACTATTTCGTTTGCTTTGCAGGAGCTTTTTAGTTTAATGTAATCCTATTTTTTTTTTTTTTGCTTTTGTTGCCTTGCTTTTGGGATCATATCTATAAATTCGGCATTCTTTTTTTTCTTTATTATTATACTTTAAATTCTATATGCATTCAGATGTTAACTTTTTGCTGCCTCTGTGTGTATGTATGTGTAGGGAGGGAGTAGTGATCAAGTTTTGCATCTGATGTGATAAAGGATAAATCTTGTAATTGCTGCAGTTTCATGAGCAAATGTGTCACATCAACTTTATATATATATTTCCAGAAGGCAGAACTAGAAGTAAAACTAGAAGTAATTGTTGAGCGGAAGTTATAAGGGAAATAGAGGTAGAATTTAAATTAATAAAAATAGAACTCCAAATGTTAAACAAATGAATAGGCAACTTCTCCATTAGTAAATCTACAGTCTTTCTGAAACATTCAAGGTCTCCTTTTTTCATTATTCTTTCTTCAATATATAGTTATGATCAACATACACACACACACACACACACACACACACACACACACACACACACACACACACACACACACATACAGTGCATCCAGTATGCAAGGGTCCTTATTTAGTAGGTCAATCCTTGATTGGATTTAGTGTTCTAAGTCCTTAAAGAGTCCTGTCAAATGAACTTGATCTTTTTCACCCTACCTCACACCCTCACTTCTTCCTCACCCATAGGGTTTGGCCTCATCTGGATGGCTTTACCTTTTTTTCTCCATTTACGCACCTTTTCTCGTTCACGGAAGTGGGGTCCAATGGCCAGCAATTAAGATGAAAATTGGGTGCAGCCTTTTTTTCTAATTAAAATAGTAAATAATAAATTTGGTGTGGGGCCTTGAAAGCTAGAAGACCACTTAGACTGCTTTGATTCTGGGTTCTATGTCTTCTGTCCTCTAGACCAAGGATTATTTAGCCTTCCAGGGGTGATCTATGTTGCTTTGCAGTGCTCTACTTTGGAATTTGGAGCTAAAACCCCACTGAATAACAAAGATTGTTCTTCTTTTCTGTGCCTTTTATGCACCTCCCTTGGGAAGGTAATAGGAAAGATCTTGCTGGGCCAGAAACAATTGAGGTGATGCTGGGTCCCTGGCTCAGCACCGCTGTAACTCCATTCTCCAACAGAACACTAATTGCTTCATTTTTCAACAATAATAAACATTTTAGTTTTATTATAAATGTGGTACAAAATTAGTAATACAATAGATGTATTATTAAACCTCAACTGGTACTAAGCACTATACTTATTAATTTAAAACAATGATCTTGATTCAAAACAAAGCTTCACCACCTACAAGCTGTTTTAGGTTGGACAGATAATTTAATCATTCTTATTTCAATTTCCTCATCAATAATGTTTATATCAATACTCATATTTCAGAGCTACAGATTTCAGATAACGTGACATATTTTATATTAATAATAATGAAAATGCAAGTCACAATCACGATGACATTTTACCTCCTACCTCTTAAGATGGCTGTCATGAAAAAACAAAACAAAACACCAACAACCACAAAAGATAAGTGTTGGCCAGAATGTGGAGCAATTACAACCCCAATTATTTCTGTTTCTTAACAGGTATTGACAAAAATATTCACGAGGAGCCTCTTCTATTGGGCAAAAGGGGTTAGAGTAGAGACCTCATATGAAGTTTCTATGTTCTATTTATATAAAAATTTCTTCTTTGTATTATCTTCAAATAGCATCGTTATTAGTAAAATTAAGGTTGTAAAATGCAAGGAGGAATAAAAATTTAAATGATGATTTTCAAACCAATGCATCTTAAAAATGTATTTTAATGTTTGTTATGTCTCAATGTTTTACAAACCAAACTATAAATTAATTATATTTGTCAGGGAAGTCTGAGAAGATAAATATCAGGCAAATCTCACGAATGTTTCAAAATCATTTTGCCACAATCACAGCAGCCTAATGTCCACAGCAGCAGAAATACATTAATTCATCTCTCTCTTGCAGTTTTGCATCCTTCCCTTTTCACATGTAAAAGGCAGCCACAATGCCTGATTATTTCTTAGAGTAATTTTACTGGAGTTTTCCACCCTTTAGCATTGGCATCTCTATATTTATTTTGGGCTTCATTCCATTTTATAGAGGCATCATACTATCAAAATCTCTGGACAGGGAAGATGGAGGCTGGCCTCTCCTCCTCATGCAGTGTTAATAGAATGTCCATCTATTGAGCCCTTTGGAAATGCCAAGCAATGATTTACAACTCTTCACCCCTGTGGGGCCTTTGTAAAGAAATCACCCAGATGGTGTGAAGCACACTTGGACAGTCCAATGTGGGGCTATGGATCACAGGAATGTCTTGGAGGCTTTGTGCACTCAGGAAGCTGCATGAACCATCAGTGGAGAAAAGGATAAAGAAAACAATAATGGAGCCAAAACTTGAAGCCTGTGTCCTAGAATCCCCAAGAATAAAGCTGTACAAAAAATCATATAATATACATATAATGTATAATTGTATATAATATATATACATATAATTATAATGTATAATTGGAACAAAATAAATGATATGAATAATAGATATAGTAAAGAAACCAGATTTACACAGATGTACAAACACATATATTACTGTCAACCAAGAGGCGAAAGACCACACTGCAGTGCAGTAAGACTAGGCATTTATTGGTGTCTTAGGAATTGCTATTTGGAAGACACATATTTGGCTAGAAGCCAAATTGCGTTCAGAAGAAAGGGAGGGAAGTAAGGGTTTTTGAAGGGAAGCTAAAGGTGATTACACAAGTTGCTTTGAAAGAATGATCATTGATGGAGGCAGCTGGCTTAGTACACAAATCCGTAGTTCATTGGTTGTTGCTGTTCAGGAATTTGCAGTGTTGGTGAAATCCGGCTGTTTTCCAGGATGTTGTGGTCATTGCAGTTTGGCCCAGTTCAAAGGTTCAAGGCAAGTTCCTGGTTTTTTGTTTGTTTCTGTTTTCTTTTTGCAGGTAATGCAGGCAATCTTCTTGAAATAGCTTCCTGAACTTTATTTTTGTGTTTTGAACCAGAGTGATGCCATTTCGTATATCACATTTTATATTACACACACTACATAAAATATATGCATGCATTCTTTCTTTCTTGGCGTGTTTTTCAAATTGCAACATATTTTAGAGTAGAAGCCAACAAATTTGTTTTTTGTAAAGGGCCCGATAGTAAATTTTAGGCTTTACAGGCCACGTATAGTTCCAACTACTTTTCTCTTTCATTGTAGTCCAAAGCAACGAGAGACATGTAAACAAATGAGCAAGGTTGTGTTCCAGTTATATATAAGCAATAAAATTATATATAAGCAAAAATATATATAAGCAATAAAATTACAATTTTATAGAATCTTCATGTGTCACAAAGTATTATTTTTCTTTGGGGTTTTTCAACTATATACAAATGTAAAAACCATTGTTAGCTTATGCACTATGCAGAAATAGGTGGTAAGCTACATTTTGCCCACAGGCCATTGTTTGCTGACCTTTATTACAGACAGTCAAGATTCATGGAATGAAATTAAATTTGATGCCATCTAAAAACTGAAAATGTTTTAGAATTGTGGGACACCTAATACTTAATAATTCATTTATCCAAGTAGATATGACTATTTTGAAATGCTAAAATAACCACTAGGTGGCTCTGTACTCTGTATATTTTCTGTGTTGTTACAGCATTTCACCCATTCTTTGCCATTGCTATGTGTTCAGCACTAGATGGCATTAACTATTGAGGATGTTTTTTCATCTTTTGAAATTCACATTCCCAAATATGAAATAAATTATTATTTTTCATGTCTAGCGGGAAAACTCATGATTAATCTCTGTCCTTATTACCAGAAGACCAAAATTAGCACTTTAAGGTCAGCCTAGAAACTGGAACTTATCCATATGTCCTAACACAGAGCATTTTTGTATCATAATAGATTACAATAATGCATTTGATCAACAGAAGTTTACCTGTTAGAAACCACAGAAAATTAACCTGACACATTATAATAGTTCCCAAATATCTAATTTTAAATAATATTTTTAAAAATAGGTGTATGTGTATTAAATAATGTAGTAATTCAAAATCAACCTTGACTTCACTGTTTTCATGTATATAGTGAAACACATTTGTTATTTCTGAAATCCAAAGTAATGGCACATTAATATACCCTCAGTGAAGTAAAATCAATCCTACAGATCATTGCTTGACTTTGTGGGCTGAAATTGCTTCCAAAATCGTATTACTAGCAATGTTGCATTAGAGGCTTCTAAATCTATTATCATAGAGGCAGGATTTTATTTCTTGTACTGGCTCGATAGCTTTCAAATTACAAAGTTAGGGCCGGGCACGGTGGCTCATGCCTGTAATCCCAGCACTTTTGGAGGCCAAGACAGGTGGATCACCTGAGGTCAGGAGTTCGAAACCAACCTGGCCAACATAGTGAAACCCCGTCTCTACTAAAAACACAAAAATTAGCCCAGTGTGGTGGTGTGTACCTGTAGTCCCAGCTACTTGGGAGGCTGAGGAAGGAGAATCACTTTAACCCAGGAGGTGGAGATTGCAATAAGCCAAGATCGCACCACTGCACTCCAGCCTGGGCAACAGAACAAGACTCCGTCTCAAAAACGAAAAAAAAAAAAAAAAAAAACAAAGCTGTAAGTACAGGTCACTTTAAATAGATGAATTTTCCTAAATTGAAAGAGATAGCGCTCATTGTCATTAACTTGCCACAAAGGCAAACTTTCAAAATTTACAAGTTATGTAAAAGTGCTGGGGTAATATGCAGATCAATACATTACTAGAACATTTAAAAATGTAATGTTTTTTAATAGTTGGTTTTATTATTGGCTCATACTACCTTCTATACCACTTTCTTAGTTAAGATCCCCTCAAGTTGAAGAAGAATAGATGAGGGAATTCACTTCTATCATTTCATTTTTACTGCAAATTCATAATATAATTTCTTTTCCACATGTCATGAAATTAGAAAGCTGTTTGTTTTTACTCAATTTAAAGTGTTTTGTATGTGAGAAACAAATTGCATTATGTGTGTACATACCTGGTACATTTCCAAGAGAAAGAATACTAAAAATAGCTCATCAATCAACAGGTTTAAAATTGAATAAAAATGTTTTCAATGCGATGCAATGCATGACAGCAGGGTTGAACAAAGCACACGCAGTTATCTTTGTCTCTTCATTCCTTGTCATTTCCATATAGAAATAAGTTTTGCTTTGGTCTTTTAAAAATTCATGTGTATATTAAATCAAGAAACTACACGATGCAATTTATCTATTCTGGATCTGGTAGAATGCTGTTATCACCTTAAGATAATGTCTATTTATTGTCATATCTATATATCAGCAGAGTAATAAGGACAATATATTATTCCTGAAGTAGCATCCCTACTGGTGCCAGGCTTGTTTTGCATCAAACATAACTTCCTTACTCCTTATTCTTTAACTAAACCGTAATCCTTTGAATAAGAGATCTGAAAATATTATTTTGATTAGTCAGGATATTTTGTTCCACTAAGGAAATTAACTCTGCTCTTTCTTAGAGATTTTCAAGGGACATTTTGGGAAGACTATCTTAAAAATAAAAACAAGGAGTGTTGTTTGTTTTAAATTTCACTTTCTTAGTTTATTTGTATTTCTCCTATGGAAATTAATATTTAAACTGCATCTACACAACAGAAAGCTGAAAATATAGTTGACAATTATCTAGTGGATTTAAGTTTAAATGGAAAGTCTAAAAATAAAATTCACATCTCAATGTTTATTAAGATGTCTAGGGCCCTGGTTGGTCAGTAGAAGTTTTTGATAGTTATCTGTATTTTTTTTGAAATAGTGGAAAAAAAACAGTACTCACAGCTTAAGAATATTTTGTGTTCAAATGTCTTAGACTAAGAGACTATGCCCTTGCTATAATTCTAAAATATGGAGTGATTTACCAAGAAACCAACAGGGCAATAGTGGCTTAGTAAAATATAGTTTATAATTTGTACATTAAATATTCTTGTTCCAAATAATACTTTATAGGTGTTAGCCTTCTATCAGAAAGATAGTCTAGATTATACCAAGGTGAAATCCCTACATGGTATACTAAGAAAAGTTGAGTAACTGAGATAAGGGAGAAAGAAAAAACCAGCCGAAAGCCTGAAAATGTATGGTTCTAAAAGTATTGGTGCCTAATGATAATGAATACAATTCTATCGTACTTGAACTTCATGCCAAACTCCACTTGGAAATTTACAATCAGCTATTTCAGCCACACTTCTTGTATCCGTTATTATTTGTCAGTGATTCAAATTCAAGCCCTCTTTCCTCAAATTCAAACTTCTTCAAAAACACTTTTTCTGCCTTGATTTCATTAAAACAAATCCATATATAAGGCTATTGCATATGATTGTGAAGACCACTTACTGCACAAAGTAACCAAATTCATATACCCTGGTATTGAGCTGTATACATCTACCAGGAGAAAAGAACTCATTTTTTCCCTAATTTACATGCAAGTATTGCAAGACTAGTAGCATTTCTCCTTGTATCTGAATGTCACTGATTTCCTCTGTAACCAGTAATCTTTATCAGAAGCTGCTAAACAAAGACATATGTAGTGTTTTTGTGGGACAGTCCTGGTTTATGCCTATTGCCCCTGTATAATTGTTCATAGTACTATCTTTTACTTTCAAATGTGTCCCATTTGGGAAGACAAATTACATGGTCACTGTATTAGTCCATTTTCATGCTGCTGATAAAGACATACCCGAGACTGGGCAATTTACAAAAGAAAGGTTTAATGGACTTACAGTTCCACATGGCTGGAGCCGCGTAACAATCATGGCAGAAGGCAGAGAGGAGCAAGGCAAGGAGGAGCAAGTCACATCTTAGGTGGATGGTGGCAGGCAAAGAGAGAGTGTGTGCAGGGAAATTCCTTTTTATAAAATCATCAGGTCTCGTAAGACTTATTCACTATCATGAGAACAGCATGGGAAAGGCCTGCCTGGGTCCCTCCCATGACATGTGGGATTTTAAGATGAGATTTGGGTGGGGACAGACACAGCCAAACCATATCATTCTGCCCCTGGCCGCTCCCAAATCTCATGTCCTTACATTTCGAAACCAATCACGGTATCCCAACAGTCCTCCAAAATCTTAACTCATTTCAGCTTTAACTCAAAAGTCCACAGTCCAAAGTCTCATCTGAGACAAAGCAAGTCCCTTCTGCCTATGAGCCTGAACAAAGCGGGTACAGGCCCCATGCAAGTCCAGAATCTACTGGGGCAGTCAAATATTAAAGTTCCAAAATGATCTCCTTTGACTCCATGTCTCACATCCAGGTCACACTGATGCAAGAGGTGGATTCCCATGGTCTTGGGCAGCTTGACTCCTGTGGCTTTGCAGGGTATAGCCTCCCTCCCAACTGCCTTCTTGGGCTGGCATTGAGTGTGGCTTTTCCAGGTGCACAGTGCAAGCTGTTTGTGGATCTGTCATTTTGGGGTCTGGAGGGTGGTGGCCCTCTTCTCACAGCTCCACTAGGCAGTACCCCAGTAGGGACTCTGTGTGGGGTCTTGTACCCCAAATTTCCCTTCCACTCTGCCCTAGCAGAAGTTCTCTATGAGGGCCCTGTCCCTGCAGCAAACTTTTACCTGGGCATCCAGGCATTTCCATACATCTTCTGAAATCCAGGCGGAGGTTCCCAAATCTCAATTCTTGACTTCTGTGCACCCACAGGCTCAATACCACATGGAAGCTGCCAAGGCCTGGGGATTCCACCCTCTGAAGCAATAGCCTGAGCTGTATGTTGACCCCTTATAGTCACAGCTGGAGCAGCTGGGACACAGGGCACCAAGTCCCTAGACTGCACACAGCAGAGGGACCCTGGGCCCGGCCCACGAACCCATTTTTTCCTCCTAAACCTCTGGGCCTGTGATGGAAGGGGCTGCTGCAAAGGTCTCTGACATGCCCTGGTGACACTTTCCCCATTGTCTTGGTGATTAACATTAGGCTCTTCATTACTTATGCAAATTTCTGCAGCCAGTTTGAATTTCTCCTCAGAAAATGGGATTTTCTTTTCTATTGCATTGTCGGGCTGCAGATTTTCTGAACTTTTATGCTCTGTTTCCCTTTTAAAACTGAATGCCTTTAACAGCACCCAAGTCACCTCTTGAATGCCTTGCTGCTTAGAAATTTTCTTCACCAGATACTGTAAATCATCTCTCTGAATTTCAAAGTTCCACAAATCTCTAGGGTGGGGCACAATGCCACTAGTCTCTTTGACAAAACATAACAAGAGTCACCTTTGCTCCAGTTCCCAACAAGTTCCTCATCTCCATCTGAGACCACCTCAGCTGGGATTTCGTTGTCCATATTATTATCAGCATTTTGGTCAAAGCCAATCAACAAGTCTCTAGGAAGTTCCAAACTTTCCCACATTTTTTCTGTTGTTGTTGTTGTTTTTTTTTTTTTTTTTTTTTCAGAGCTGTTTAAACTGTTCCAACCTCTGCCTGTTACCCAGTTCCAAAATCACTTTCACATTTTTGGGTATCTTTTCAGCAGCACTCCACTCTACTGGTACCCATTTACTGTATGAATCCGTTTTCACACTGCTGATAAAGACATACCTGAGGCTGGGCAATTTACAAAAGAAAGAGGTTTAATGGACTTACAGTTCCACATGGCTGGGGAGGCATCACAATCATGGTGGAAGGCAAGGAGGAACAAGACACATTTTAGGTGGATGGCAGCACAATCTTGGCTCACTGCAACCTCTGCCTCCCGGGTTCAAGCGATTCTCCTGCCTCAGCCTCCCGAGTAGCTGGGACTACAGGTGCCTGCCACCACACCCGGCTAACAAAATTTGATTTTTTAGATCGATGGATAAAATTGTATAAATTTATCATCTACACCATGATGCTTTAAATTATATATAATATACATTTTGAAATAGTTAAATCTAGCTAATTAACAAATGTATTATATCACATAGTTATCATTTTTTGTGCTGCAATCCCATATTTATTGCAGCACTATTCATAATAGCCAAGATATGGCACCAACATAAGTGCCCCTAGTTGGATGAATGGATTAAAAAAAGTGGTGTATATACACATGGAATACTATTCAGCCTTAAAAAAAAGGAGATACTATTATTTGTGATAGCATGGATGAAACTGGAGGACATTATGTTAAGTGAAATAAACCAAAATGTAATTATTTTTGTGTCCCACTCTCTCCAGGCCTGTTGATTTATGCATAATGGCTATTGTAATGAATAAGTGTTAGTCAAAGACAGAGTGAAATATTCAGAAGAGGGTCAATTTGTTTAATTCTTTTAAAGCAGCATACTGCCACCTTCCTGGTGCTGATTGCACTCTGTTTTTTTTTTTTTTTTAATGACCTGCTCTCCCCATTACTCCTTCCTACTCTCAAAACCCACAAAATCAGGCACTTCAATGAATGAAAATACTTTGGGGCTTTTATCAAGATGAAGATGTACCACTTTGTTACTGATCAGAAGAACTTGTAAAATGGAATTTTCAATACTTCAAAGCTATTTCAGGTCAGTTTGCATGAATGATTTTGTATGATTCTATACAGATCTATGGAGAAGTGAACCCAGAGAATTTGCACTGACACCCATGGACGGAAGGTATGTGAAAGTAACTTTTAATTGCATATTTCATTGACCTTAAAAAAATGAGTCTCATCTTTGGTACTGAGTAAAAAGTAAAGATTCAAATGTATTATTATCCAAACAAATTATCCAGCCTATTTTATGGTATTATTGAAACCACGCACTGTCTACACTCTGAATTCCTTTGGCAGTGCTAAGACAACTACCATCCTGCTTTCTAGCAAAAGGAGTGGAATGTAGTTAGGAGATAAAGCATACCTTCTGCAAGTATTTATAGTGTTTTGTTTTCATACATCACTTTGAAATTGCCACGTTTATAGTTAAGAGAGATAAAATGTATAATTTAAGTTGGCTTATTAAAATTGCTGAATTTTGTGTAGTTTTATGTTAGGAAAGACTATACTTATGCCCTTATAAAAATGTTACTATCACAGAAAGTGTTATGTGTCTAAACAGCTATTACTTTCCAAATAATCCCAGACTGGACACATCTCAAATAATTCCAAGTATACCATTATTTGTGAGGAATAAAATTATTTAATTACACACACACACACACACACACACACATGCACACACACCAATTCCTAATATGTTCTTGTTATTTCTGACAAAAATAAATATTGAATTATTCTACATTAATGAAGTACTGAGTTTTAGATTTTGAGAGTTTTTCCAAGAAAATGTTTAAAAGCACTTTTAATTATATATAATATTTATGTATTATTTTTATATTAAATATAATTAATATAGTTAGAATTTTGTCCCCTCTAAATCTCATGTTGAATTGTAATCTCCAATGTTGGAGGTGGGGCCTGGTGGGAAGTGTTTGGGTCATGGCAGAAGATCCCTTATGGCTTGGTTCTCAAGATCATGAGTTCTCACCATATATGGTTGTTTAAAAGCATGTGGCATCTTCCCTCCATCATTCCTCTTGCTCCATCTGTCGCCATCTGATATGCCTGCTCCTGCTTTACCTTCTGTTATGAGTAAAAGCCCCCTGAGGCCTCCCTAGAAGATGTCAGCACCATGCTTGTACAGCCTGTAGAATCATGAGCCTCTCTCTCTCTCTATATATATATGTATATACACATATATGTATGATCACATATATACATATGTATACTTATATTTAAGTGTGTATGTATACATGCTTATATTTAATTGTGTGTATCTTTATATGTATACTTACATTTAAATATATACACACACACACACTTAAACGAATGTGGTTGTACACGGTACAAAATAAAATTCCTTAAATAACAATGTGTGTAGACGGTACAAATTGGAGATTGCATGTATTCTAGGCCCACTTTGTTAATAACAAAAGGAGCCATTTTATCCACATTTTGGCTTAAATGAAGAACTTAGTATTTATATTTGTGTTATATTCTGTTGAAAATATATTTTTTATTGTTTTTACTGCTTGCTTTGTATATTTTAAGTCCTCATGAAGAAGTTCTTTTTGAAAATATTCACATATCATAACAAATTCACATTTCATTTGCAATCAGAAAAGTTGGGAGGCAGGAAAACCAGACTTTGACATTGCCATTCTGTATTTGAAAGCATTCAGGTATTCAGCCATTGAAACTCATTCACAGTATGTTGGTGGTAGACCAGAATTAAAATCAGTTCTTCTGAATCCTTCTCATTTGATTAATAGCTTAGTAGTCAAATTGCTCACTACAAATATTATTTTCACCCCTGGAATAAAGTTAAAAAAAACCATGCATGCTTCTGAAGCAAAAGTCTATGATTACATAAACAGTTGTTCTCTTTGATGCTGGTATCAAAAATAATATTTTCCAGGTCAACAAAATGAGAAATAACAAATTGTTGGTAGTTATGAATCCTCTGAGAGACAAACGGATGAACGCCCAGTGGAAATAAACAGTTAGCTGCTGGCACTCCACCCCTCCCATGTGTTCATTATTTTATTTAGTGAGTTTAAATGTGGACTCCCTGACAATTATTTGGCAAGGCCCATATCATCACTAGTTAACTAAAATGCTCCCCTCTCTGTCTCAGTTTCCTTGTATCAACATTTATGCAATGTATAATCCTGTGAAATCAGTAAGTTTCCCACGTGTTTTCACTTTGGATAAAGCTAGGGAAATTGTTAGCTAAAAAATAAGTAAGTATTTTTTCCAAGTGCATATGTCCTAAGAGCCCTTTCAGACACCCTTAGAGGAATATAAAATAACAGATATAAAAAGAAGCATATTAGCTTATATAAAATAGAATTCAACTGAGATTCTGTGGATAAGGGGAAATAAAAAGAGAAAATTTTAGAAGTTATAAGGTAAGAAATAATCACTGTTCAATACAAGAGAAAGCGAAGGTATTTTCTCAGACCCAGAACATATACCAGGCACTCACTTTTCACAATTGACCATGATATTGGGCAAAAATAGAGAGCTCTAAGGGCATATGGGAACTGTGCCCTATTAGAACTGCAGCTCAGCCTCTTATAGATGCATTTTTATTTAGAAATGTGTATATTGCAGTGATGACTCTCAGAACATAAGCCACAAAACATCTGGCAATACTTAATACCACAGCCCATCTGCTGCCATCTTTGGCTGCATAAAAGAAGTAACGTCCAGTTCACAAGAGGGTAGATTCCGACGGTATTGATCAGAAACCAGTTCACTGTATTCAATCTAGGTATAGGCTGAGAGCATAAACCCAGATCAATGACTTAAGGATGCCAGTAGTATTCTTCGATATTTTTAAAGCCAAGAGTAAAGATGATTCTAAGAGACACCAGTTGCATTCTTCAAAAAATGTTACGGCTATTATGGAGAAAATAATTTGATTTTGTTTTGTTTTACTATAAAGTAATACAGATCGGAAATCACTAGATGTATGGTCCAGTGCCACAATAAATCTTTATACCCACATTAAAACTTTTGGGGTGGCATGATAGATTACTAAAACCTGATTTGCCTGTAGATTTTTGAAATAAATTTTTAGACCATTTTAAATGTCCCCAGACACTGAATATACAATGTTGCATAAAGAAGGGAGGATGCATAAAGCCTATCTTCTATCTGCTAGAAAGAAACAGTGCTCCCATTGATGTGGGAGAAAGTAAGGACTAAGACCATCTTCCCAAATTTGAGTCAAGTCATGGGGAGGAGTAACGGTGCAGGACACAGTAACACCATACTGGAGAGCTTGCCAGACATTTTTCTGGGAACTTCATTCATTCATTCTTTTAGCAATAACAAATGAGGAGATACTGAACATCAAGCACGAAGATACTGGGCTAGAAACTATGGGCATAAAAAATACAAAATAAATACTGAAGATGGAGCTTCTGAAATGATGGAATAAGGAACATGTTAGACTCCCTCCCTAGTAAAGCAATTAAACCAGTGAAAATTATAAAAGAAAAAAATATTTTGAAGTCTCTGGAGATATTCCTAAAACCACAGAGCATTAGGAGACACATTTGTTAAAGAGAATTTACTAAGTTTTGGTCAGAACACCGAGAGTGTGAGGCATTTGAGCCACAACTTGGTCCGTTATCCATCCATTCCCAGTTATTTGTTCCAAAAGTTCTACCCCAGGCATGTGCAAAAAAGAATATGGTAGATCCCTTTCACCCAGCTGCCTGGGGATATATTTTCGTCCGAGGATGTGAAGGCTGCTGCTGTGTCTCATTCCTCTTACTTCTGAGGTGTGGAAGCCTTATTCTAGGTGTGCAGAAGAACTGGTCTCTCTTCTCACACCCTATCTCCACTCATAGGGTTAAAGGTCTACCTTAGGTACTGCAGGCAAAGGATACTGGCCCCAACTGTCTAGCTACTACCTTGCTGGTAGAGTGGAGGTTCCATGTCTGGAGGGGCAAGCTGACAAGACTGGGGCTGATATTCCAGTCCGCAATGCCCATTCTTAGAATAGGGGTGTTACTCTGGAAAAGTGGGTTCCCACCAGCAGCTTCAGTGCAGAGACACAAGGGTTCTGTCCAGGAGTAAAGTCAAGCTTTAAGAGTAAATAGCTCCTCAGTTGTGCATGAGGGAGTGGACATTATTTGGAACAGTGAGTGGAGAAGTCATGCCTAAGTGTGTTGTTGAAAACAGTGAAGACCTTGGTGAACTATAGGTGGTATTTCTGATATAAGCAAAACAACAGAACAGCCAGGAATTTAATAGTGATTACCAGGGAAAGAGATAGCCAATGTAGAGTCTTCCTAGGATCACAGTCAACCCTGTTTGTGAAGCCTGTGGATATACACTATGCTACACCCACTCAGAAGCAATCAGAGAAAGACATGGGGCAGAGCCATAAACAGACCCATTTATGCAGGGAAGAAGTCTTTTTGGCACAAGGTGCTTAAATAAAACCTTTGAAAAGACACTGACTGAACAATCAGCTACTCTAATTCAGGGGTGACTCCTAAAAATACGGGCTTAAAAATAATATCACGGTCATCCATGATTGTATGGAAGACTGAGTATATGCCCAAGGCTGCACTCTATACAGAGTTACCACTAGAGGGAACCACCAAACTACTAGTGCCAGGATGAATGGGGCATAAAACCGTAAACTCCTTGAACTAAGATAGTAACCTTCAAGCCACACAAACATCTCATGGTAGAGAGTAAACATGTATCTAGTGAAATGGGGCTTAAGTGTAATCTTTGTGAAGTAAGTGCCTTATAATTACACAGGGGTGACCCCCCAGATAGTCAGGTTGAAAGACAAAAATAGAGAGAAAAATAACTCAGAGGCTACACGCTGAGTGGGAAATAGACTTACAGGAATAGTTCACCCAAGACATTAAACAAACTAGCAAGTGAAAAACCAGCAAAGATCACAGCCACTTCTGGAGTGGGTCAGTACCCAAAGTTGCAATAATAAAATATCTAAAATGTCAAATTCTCAACAAAAAAAATACGACACATGCAAAGAAACGGTAAAGTGTGATGCATACACAGGGGGAAAAAAAAAAAACCAAGGCAGGCACTAGAGAGGTATTTAGGGCTGGCAGTGCTGCAGAACACCTAAGGGGCTGAGGGACACTCTGGGGAGGTGTGGAGAGCCCCAAAGTCTGGTCTACGTGACCTGCCAGGGGTAGAAGTGGCGGGGTACATGCCAGCCTCCCATGGTACACCTGCCTGATATGGTGCCTGTGGCACACAGACCTGCCAGGAGGAGGGGCCATGACCTCCTCCCTGTTTCCTGAGGCAGCTGCTGCTGAAGCTTCACTGCCTCCAGAATCCTAGCTGCAGGAGATCACATGATCCCCCATGGACATGTTAGCTGGCAGGGAGAACTGTTTAGAGTGGTGGCATGGGCAAGACTCCAGGCTTTGTGGAGTCCAGAGGGCTTGGTGCAGGAATGGCTGCAGTGGACCACAGCCACAGGTGCCCGTCCCCTAAGGCTTGCCATGCTCCTCTAGGTGGCATTGGCCTTTGGTGACTGTCAGACCTGGACAGAGCAGCATGCTCTTGGCTGTGGAATGGGGCCAGTCTATCTGAAATCCCCCTGTCTGAGCCTTTCCTGGAGCCCCAGCCTGGCTGCACCTGCTTACAGTGCAGACTTGAATACCCAACCAGCATGCTTCCTGGGGGCAGTAATTAGCCCTCAGGTTTGCTGTACTGAGTCATTATATTCACAGTACATGCACTGAGACTGGTCCTTGACAACCCTTAGCAGATGATACATACTCTTCTATTTATAAAAGTTTTTGAAATTAAACTTTATAAGCAAGCAGCTTATAGCCAACAGTTTTATAATCAAGCAACTAATTTTGAAATATCTTCTTTCTCCTACAATTCATACGGAGAAAACAAGGAGAAATTTTACAAGTCACAACTTCAAATTATATT
The DNA here is from genome assembly GCF_000001405.40 of Homo sapiens. Lineage (NCBI taxonomy): Eukaryota > Metazoa > Chordata > Mammalia > Primates > Hominidae > Homo > Homo sapiens. Next base: position 36,897,157 of record NC_000023.11, on the reverse strand, counting down.
TTCATTAAAACTAGGAGACTCAAAAAATCAACAGATTCCCAGTTGTATATACATTCCATCAAAGGTGAAGCTACATGGGAAGCATGACATTGTGAGGGGACTATGGGGAAGAACAAGGTGGGCAGAGGAGTTCTAAGGGCTGGCATGTCCATACATCTCCAGCCAATAGTTGCCTCCCAAATGAGAACATCTCACTGAGAGGGAACCAGTGTGAGCATAACTGAGATTGAACACCTCAAGATCACCGGAGAAGGAATAGAGAACTAAGGCTCAGAAAGTGCTCAGGGGCCCACAGGTGGCAGGTAGCAAAATGTTCCAGTAAAAACAGTTTCTAAGAATGCATTGTGGTGTAAGCAAGGGCTGCGATGGGAACTCAGAGATCCAGGATGGCAAAGGAAGTTCACCTGAACCAGGCTGTGCTCTAAGAGCCAGAGCAAAATTGGCTACAGAAAGGACAATACCTTAAGATATTCACTGTAGGGACAGAGGAGGGAGCTGGAAGCTGTGACGCTTGGAATACTACCCTAGCATACCCTGTATCTTCCATCCCATCCTCCTATTAGAAGTCTAGAAAAATCCATCCCATTTAAATACAGGTAACAAGAAATGAGGAAGCTTTGCCTACACACAAGAATACTATAAGATAAACAATGAACAACAGCAACATATATTTCTACGCAAAGGGAATAAAACCTATCTGGAAATGGCTTCCACAAAGCAGATGAAAATTATAACTTAATATTATAATAAGAATTAAAACAACAAACAGAAAACTTACAAAATCAAATCCTTGAAAGAGCAATGATAGTTATGCAGGAATACTACAAAGCATACATCTAAGAACTCAAGAAAAGATGACCAGAAAACAGGAAGTGATGGCCTGAAAATAGAAAGCACACTAAGGGATACAGGGGAAATAAATAAAAAGCAATATCTACAGAAACATGGGTAAAAAAAGAGATTCAAAAATAAAATTAGTTCTCGTTGTGGAAATTGAAGATTATACATACGGGGATAAAAATGTAGATAAGCCTAGAACATCTGGTCACACTGGTAAACAAAAAAGTTATTAAATAATATTTGAATCTTATCAAATCAACTAGAGAAGAATTGCATCTTCCCTCAAATGGGATATTTCGAGAATGAATAACAATAAATGTAACAAATGGAAAGCATAAATATGTTTTAAAATATGTTTACACTCATAAGTACTTCATAACATATACACCCGTACACACACACACACACACACACACACACACACAGACACAAACACACACCCCATCACATTCATTGGTCAACTTGGGGGGATGAAAAAAAACAAATTCATTCATTTATTTGAAAATAAAATAGTGTTTTTCTTACCTTTCCAGCACAAATGTTATCTTAAGGTGTTTCTTTATAGAAGCATTCTAGCTAGTAAGTGAAGAAATAATAATAAAACTAGAATACCATCTTTTTGTAACTATAATTGGAAAAAACAATGCCTATCAGTGGTTGTCATCATAACAGAGAGTGCACCAGGTATTTTGGGTCTTCTAGCAAAAGGGTGCAATACCATTTATGAAGCTGTTTTGCTAAAATGCAAATCAGGATATATATATAATCAACAATTTACATAAAACACAAGAGAGTGCGGAGCATGTTCAACTAAATAAGAGGGATTCAATTAGTCAAATCCAGATTGAGTGAAATACTACAAAACAACCAATTCAGTGTTTTGTTTTGTTTTGTTTCCACAAAAATAAATAGCAGAAAATAATAGTGGCATTCTTTGATAAACAGAAAGTCAAAAATATAAACTTGCTATGTACGGGCATTTTTGGAAATATAATTCAAACAAACTTTAACAAAACATTTATAAATAACTGAGGAAGTTTAAACATTGACTAGATATTGAATGATATTAAAATATTATACTTACTGTTTATTATTGATAATGATATTCTTTGTTTTCAAAGATTCTTGAAATGTATCTTTTTGTTGAGCGATACATTCAGAAATATCTGCAGATGAAAAATATGATGACAAGGATCTACTTCAATGTAATTCAAAGGGTGCAAGGGGATTGGGTGTGTATTAGTCCGTTCATTCTCACACTGCTATGAAGAAATACCTGACACTTGGTAATTTATAGAGGAAAGAATTTTAATTGACTCACAGTTCCACATGGTTTGGGTGGCCTCAGGAAACTTACAATCATGGCAGAAGGCAAAGGATAAACAGGCACTTTCTTCTTCAGAGGGTGGCAGGACAGAGTGAGTGCAAGCAGGGGAAATGTCAGACGCTTATAAAACCATCAGATCTCAGGTGACTCACTCATTATCATGAGAACAGCATGGGGGAAACTGCCCCCATGATCGGATTACTTCCACCTGGTTCTGTCCTTGACATGTGGGGATTACAATTCAAGATGAAATTCTGGGTGAGGACACAGCCAAACTGTATCAGGGTGTTAACGAAGCAGCTGGGTGAATAGCTGTAACAACTGAAGCTCATTATACTGTTTTCCAAAATTTATAATATTTCTCTTAAAAATCATTAAACAATTTCTATACTAACAAATAAAAGGAATACTCCTGAAAGATATTTATTGTAGGAATTATATAGAAGTTTTCTTTAGGTTAGGGAAATTCTATATATTCCTAATTTACAAAGTTTTTATTATAAAGTTGTGTTAAATTTTGTAAAAAATGGTCTCTGCTTCTGTAGAGATGTTAATATTTTCATTTTTAAGCCATTTATGTGGATTCTATGTTTCTATGTCTTTTATATTTTTTCATAATGTCAATCTCCCATTTTATTTATTATTTTTAAATTTTTAAATTTTTTGTGGGTACATAGTAGGTGTATACATTTATGGCATACGTGCAATGTTTTCATACAGGCCTGCAATGTGAAATAAGCACATTATGAAGAATGGGGTATCAATCCCCTCAAGCATTTATTCTTTGTGTTGCAAGCAATCCAATTATATGCTTTTAGTTATTTTAAAATGTATAATTAAATTATTTTTTGACTATAGTCAATCTGTTGTGCTGGCAAATACTAGGTCTTAATCAGTTTTTCTAACTATTTTTTTGTACCCATTAACCATCCCCACATCCTCCCCATCCCCCTACAGCCCTTCCCAGCCTCTAGTAACAATCCTTCTTTTCTCTATGTCCAAGAGTTCAATTGTTTTATTTTTTAGCTCCCACAAATGAGTTGGAACATGTAATATTTGTCTTTCTGTGCCTGGCATATTTCACTTAACATAATATCCTCCAGTTCCATTTATGTTGTTGCAAATGACAAGATCTAATGCTTCTTTATGGCTGATTAGTACTCCATTGTGTATATATACCATATTTTAAAAATGTATTCATCTGTTGATGGACCCTTACATTGCTTCCAAATCTTAGCTATTGTGAATAGTGGTGCAACAAACATGAGAGTGCAGATAACTCTTCGATATACTGACTTCCTTTCTTTTGGATATATACCCAGCAGTGGGATTGCTGGTTCATATCGTAACTCTACTTTTAGTTTTTTTGAGGAACTTCCATACTGTTCTCCATAGTGGCTGTATTAATTTACAAATCCCTCCAAAGGTGTATGAGGGTTCCCTTTTCTCCACATCCTTTCCAGTTTTTATTATTGCCTGTTTTTGGATAACAGCCATTTTAAATGGGGTGAGATGATATCTTACTGTAGTTTTGACTTGCATTTATCTGATGATCAATGGTGTTGAGCCCCTTTTTATGTACCTGATTGCCATTTGTATGTCTTCTTTGGAGGATTGTCTATTCAGACACATTGCCCATTAAAAAAATCTGATTATGAGATTTTTTTCCTATAGAGTTGTTTAATCTTCTTTTATTCTGGTTATTAATCCCTTGTCAGATGGATAGTTTGCAAATATTTTCTCCCATTTTGTGGGTTGTCTCTTCACTTTGTTTATTGTTCCCTTTGCTATGCAGAAGTTTTTTAACTGGACATGATCCCATTTGTCCACTTTTGCTTTGGTAGCTTGTGCTTGTGGGGTATTACTCAAGAAACCTTTGTCCAATCTAATGTCCTGGAGAGTTTTCCCAATGTTTACTTTTAGTCGTTTCATAGTGTGAGGTTTTAGATTTAAGTCTTTAATCCATTTTTATTTGATTTTTGTATATGGTGAGAGATAGGGGTCCAGTTTCATCCTTCTGCATATGAATATCCAGTTTTCCCAGCACCAGTTATAGAAGAGATGGCCTTTCCCCAATATATGTTCTTGGTGTCTTTGTAAAAAATGAGTTTACTATAGATGCATGGATTCATTTTGGAGTTCTCAATTCTGATCCACTGGTCTAGTGTTTTTATGCCAGTTCTATGCTGTTTTGGTTACTATGGCTCTGTAATATTAGCTCAAGTTAGGTAATGTGATTCCTCCTGTTTTGTTCTTTTTGGTTAGGATAGCTTTGGATCTTTTGTAGTTCCATATAAATTTTAGGATTGTTTTTTCAACCGCTTTTGAAGAATGTCATTGGCATTTTGATATGGATTTTATTGAATCTGCAGATTGCCTTGTGAATTATGGACATTTTAACAATAGTGATTCTTACACTCCATAAACATGGTCCATTTTTCCATTGTTTTGTGTGCTCTTAAATTTTTTTGCGTCAATGTTTTATAGCTTTCCTTGTATAGATCTTTACTGTCTTTGGTCATGTTAATTCCTAGGTATTTCATTTTATTTGTAGGTATTGTTAATGGGATTATTTTCTTGATTTCTTTTTCAGATTAGTCCCTATTGGCATGTAGAATTATTACTGATTTTTGCATATAGATTTTGTATCCTGCAACTTTTCTGAATTTGTTTATCAGTTCTAATAGTTTTTCAGTAGAGTCTTTAGATTTTTCCATATATAAGATCATATCATATGCAAACAAGGATAATTTGACTTCTGCATTTCCAAATTGGATGCCCTTTATTTCTTTCTCTTGATTGCTCTCGCTAGAACTTTCAGTGCTATGTTGAAAAACAGTGGTGACAGCGGCCATCCTTGTTGGGTTCCAGATCTTAGAGGAAAGGCTTTCAGTTTTTCTCCATTTAGTATGTTACTAGCTATGGGTCTCTCATATATGGCCTTTATGATATCAAGGTATTTTCCTTCTATACCCAGTTTTTTGAGGGTATTATTTTTAATCATAAAAGGATGTTGAATTTTGCCAAATGCGTATTCAGCATCAATTAAAATAATCATATGGTTTTTATACTTCATCCTTTTGATATGATGTATCACATTGATTGATTTGCATATATTCAACCATCCTTGCATCCCAGGGATAAATCCCACTTGGATCATTCATGATGAATAATCTTTCTAATGTATTGTTGAATTTGGTTTGTTAATAGTTTGTTAAGGATTTTTGCATCAATATTCATCTGAGATATTGGCTTGTAGTTTTCTTTATTTGATTTATCTGTCTGGTTTTGCTATCGGGGTAATACTGGCCTTGTAGAATGAGTCTGAAAGTATTCCCTTCTCCACTATTTTTCAGAATAGTTTGAATAGGGTTGGGGTTAGTACTTTAAATGTTGGGTAGAATTCAGCAGTGAAATCACTGGGGCCTGGGGTTTTCTTTACCAGATGACTTTTTATTGCAACTTCAATATTGTTGCTTGTTATTACTCTGTTCAGGTTTTGGACTTCTTCTTGATTCAATCTTGGTAGGTTGTATGTGTCTAGAATTTGTCCATTTCTCCTAGGTTTTTCAATTTATTGGCATGTAGTTGCTCATAGCCTTTAATGATCCTTTGAATTTCTGCAGTATCAATTGTAATGTATCCTTTTTCATTTCCGATTTTATTTGTGTCTTCTTTTTTCTTAGTCTGGCTAAATATTTGTCAATTTTATTTAACTTTTAAAATACAAACTTTTGTTTTATTGATCTTTTGTATTGTTTTCTTCATTTTGATGCCATTTATTTCTGCTCTGATTTTTATTATTTCTTTTCTTCCCGTAATTTTGAGTTTGGTTTACCATTGCTTTTCTAGTTCTTGAAGATGCATCATTCGATGTTTTATTTGATGTTTTTCTTATTTTTTGATGTAGGCCCTTATAGCTATAAACGTCCCTCTTAGTACTGCTTTTGCTGTATCCCATAGGCTTTGGTATGCTGTGTTTCCATTATCATTTGTTTCAAGACATATTTCAATTTCCTTCTTACTCTCTTCATTGGTCTACTTATCACTCAGGAGCATATTGTTTAATTTCCACATTTTTATATAGTTTCCCGAATTCCTCTTTTTATTCATTTCTAGTTTTATTCCATTGTAGTCATAGAAGGTGCTTGATATTATTTCAGTTTTTTTGAATGTTTTAAGACTTGTTTTGTGACCTAACGTATGGTCTATCCGTGAGAATAATCTATGTCCTAAGGAAAAGAATGCGTATTCTGCAGTTGTTGGATGAAATGTTTTGTAAATATCTATTAGATCCATTTGGTCTTTAGTGCAGATTAACTCCAATGCTTCTTTGTTGGTTTTCTGTTTGGAAGATTTGTCCAGTGCTGAAAGTGGAGTGTTGAAGTCTCCAGCTGTGATTGCATTGGAGCCTTTCTCTCTCTTTAGCTCTAATAATATTGGTTTATATATGTAGGTGCTCTGGTGTTGGGTGCATATTTATTTAAAATTGTTATATCTTCTTGCTGAATTGACCCCTTTATCATTTTAGAGTGACCTTCTTTATCTCTTCTTATAGTTTCAGTCTTGAAATCTATTTTGTCTGATATAACAACTCCTGCTCTTTTTTTGTTTCCACTGGCATGGAATATCTTTTTCCATCCCCTTATTTTTCAGTCTACATGTATCTTTATAGGTGAAGTGTGTTTCTTTGTCACAACAGGTGGGTCATGTTTTTTAATTCTTTCGATTGGAGAGCTTAGTATATTTACATTGAATGTTATTGTGGATAAAGACTTACTCTTGTCATTTTGTTATTTGTTTTCTGGTTGTTTCGTGGTCTTTTCTTTCTTCTTTCTCTCCTTCCTGTCTTCCTTTAGGTGATTTTCTCTTGTGATATAATTTAATTTCTTGTTTTTTTATTTTTCGTGTATCCATTGTATGTTTTCCTGTTAGAGATTATGATGAGGCTTGCAAATACTATCTTATAATCCATTATTTTAAATTGATAACTAGTTAACACTGTCTGCAAAAACAAACAAGCAAAAAGAAAACGAATAAAAACTTGATTTGTCCCCCTGCTTTGTAACTTCTTTTTCATTTTATTTATATCTTATTGTACTTTCTAAGTCTTGAAAAGTTGCTTTTGTTATTACTTCTTATTGGTTCATCAGTTAGTCTTTCTACTTAGGATATGAGTAGTTTACACACCACAGTTACAGAGTTATAATATTCTGTGTACTTACTATTACCAGTGAGAGTTGTACGTTCAGGTGATTGCTTATTGCTTATTAATATCCTTTTCTTTCTGACTTAAGTACTCCCTTTAGCATTTCTTGTAGAACAAGTCTGGTGTTGATGAAATCCCTCAGCTTTTGTTTTTCTGGGAAAGTACTTTTCCTTCATATTTGAAGGATATTTTCACTGGATATACTATTCTAGAGTAAAAGATTTTTTCCTTCAGCACTTTAAATATGTCATGTCACTATCTCTTGGCCTGTAACATTTTCACTGAAAAGTCTGCTGCCAGATGTATTGGTGCTCCATTGTATGTTATTAGTTTCGTTTCTCTTCCTGCTTTTAGGATGGTTTATCCTTAATCTTTGGGAGACTGATTATTAAATGTCTTCAGTTAGTCTTCTTTGGGTTAAATCTGCTTGGTGTTCTATAACTTCCTCGTACTTGGATATTGATATCTTTCTCTAGGTTTGGGAAGTTCTCTGTTATTCTTTTGAGTAAACTTTCTACCCCTATCTTTTTTTCTACCTCCTTTTTAAGCCCAATAACTCTTAGATTTGCCCTTTTGTGTTTATTTTCTTGAACCTGTGGGAGTGCTTCATTGTTTTTTATTTCTTTTTAAAAACCTCCTTAGAGTGTATGGTTTAAAATAGCTTGCCTTTACTTGCACTAATTCTTCTTGATCAATTCTACTATTAAAAGACTCTGATGGATGTTTCAGTATGCCAATTGTATTTTTCAGCTCCAGAATTTCTACTTGATTCTTTTAAATCATCTCAACCTCTTTATTAAATTTGTCTGTTAGAATTCTGAATTCCTTCTCTGTGTTATCTTGAATTTGTGTGAGTTTCCCCAAAACAGCTATTATGAATTCTGTGTCTGAAAATTCACCTATCTCTGTTTCTCCAGGAATGGTCCCTGGTGCTTCATCCGGTTCATTTGGTGAGGTCATGCTTTCCTGGATGGTCTTGATACTTGGTATGTTTGTCTGTGTCTGGGCATTGAAGAATTTGGTATTTATTGCAGTCTTCACAGCCTGGGCTTGTTTGTACTCATCCTCCTTGAGAAGGTTTTCCAGGTATTTAAAAGAACTTGAGTGTTGTGATACAAGTTGTATCTGCATCATCAGGAATGTAATATAAGTAATTCCATGATTGTGCAGACATGTGGAGGTACCATGTTGGTGATGTTGGATAAGACCTGGAAGAATTTTCTGGATTACCAGGCGGAGATTGTTGTTCTCTTCCCTTACTTTCTCTTAGAGTCTCTCTTTCTGCTGAGCTGCCTGGAACGTGGGGTTGGGTGACACAAGCACTCCTGTGGACACCACCACTGTGACTATACTGGGTCAGACCTGAAGCAAGTTCAGCACTGGTTCTTACCCAAGGTATGCTGTAGCCACTACCTGTCTACCGTCTATGTTTGCTGATGCTCCTACGGCTCTACAATCAGGAGGTGGTAAAACCAGCCAGGCTTGTGTCATTCTCCAAGGTGGTACATTCCCCTAGGCCCCAGATTGGTCCAGAAATGCCATCTAAGAGCCAGGGCCTGGAGGCAAAAATCTTTCAAATCTACTTGGTGTTCTATTTACTGCAGCTGAGCTGCCACCCAAACCACAAGACAAAGTCCTTCCCACTTTTTTCTCAACTTTGCAGAAGCAGAGGGGCCTCACCCTGTGGCTACCACCACCACAGACCCACATAGGGTACTGCCATGGACCAGTGATGTTCACCCAAGATCAAGGGCTATGCAGTCAGCTTATGGTGAGTGCGGCCAGACCTGGGACTCACCTTTCAGGTAGTGATATCCCTTCCGGCCCAGGACAGGTCCAGAATTGCTGTCCAAAATCCAAGGCCTGAAATTGAGGGCCCCAAGAATCAGCTTGGTGCTCTACCCCACTGTCGCTGAGCTAGTGCTTAATGTGCAAAACAAATCCCTTTACTGTTCCCTCTTCTTTTCTGAAGAATAAGGAGTCTCTCACCATAGCCACCACAGCTGGGAATGCACTGGTTCTCACTTGAAGCCAGCTTGTCTCAGGGTCTCACCTAAGGCCCATGGTGTACTACCTGGGTATGGCTGGGTATTCAGCACTGGTACCAAAGCACAGCTCAGTACTAGGACTTGTGTAGGAATTGCAGTTCTTGTGGCCTAGACTGCCTTTCAAGTTTACTTAGGGCTTGAGAGCTTTAGCCTACGGTAGCGAGGCTTGCCAGAACTCATGTTCTGACAGCTGGGATGGGCAATTCCTCTCTGGCTAAGGCTGGTCTAAATGCTCCCTCTGTGGGCAGGTATCAGCTGAGTTCAACATGGTTTTGCTTTGTGCTCTGACAGGGAAGTACTGAGTTCATTGCAAAGTCTCACAATTGCATGCTCTTCCCCTCCCTTTTCCAGTCACACAGATTCTTTTTCCATGCTACACATCCACTGCTGGTGGATGAGGGAGCGGTGGCATTGGCAATTTAAGACTGTGTTTCCTGCCCTCTTCAGTGCCTCTTTTAGCAATATGAACTTGAATGCAGGTACTATGAGAGCTCACCTGATTTTTGGTTCTTATGAAAGTGTTTTTTTTGTGTAGATAGTTGTTAAATCTGGTGTTCCTGGGAGGGGGGATCATCTGTGAATCCTTCTGTCTGGCCATCTTGCTCTGCCCCCTCTTCTATATATTTTTTCAAGTTTGAGATATTCTTGATTCCCGAGATAAACTCCCTATCCTCACCCTATGCACAGAATTCCTACAAAACTGTAGAAATTAGGCAGAAAAAGGTTTAATATGTGACTAATTTGAGAGCTCAAAGCAGATCAAGACAATGCAACAAAATAAATGTTCAAGACTATAATTTAAGAAAATGCTCTTAAAGTAAAAGAAGATTTAAATATACACTTGAAAGGCAACAGTACGCACCTGATGGAAATGATCCAGAACAGTAAATGTTAAGACATATCTTGGGAAAACTATTGAACTTTAAAAATGAAGAAAGAATTTTTTGACCACTTAAGTAAAATGCAAAGGTAACAAGAATTGGGTTGGCATCATCTTTTTTCAACAACATCATTAAATGACAGAAGACATTAAAGGTATTTCTAAGGGAAAATTTGTGCCAATGCTTTTGCATCCAGGCAAGCCGTCCTTCAAGTCCAAAGAGAATAGACAAAGAATTTTAAGATTTTAAGAACTAAGATGATATCATTTCCATGTGCCTTTTCTGAGGAAAAACCTACAGGATAAACTTCAGCTAACTGGAGATGATTAGGAAAACTTTGGCAAAGTCTGTTGGTAAGTATAAATTATATATATATATATATAAAATTAAGACAACAGTATGAAAAATCATGTCAGAATAATATTTAAATATATGTTCTGAAATTAGATATAGTACAATTAACAAAAATGGGATAAAAAGAGAGAGAAGTAGAATAAACTTACAGATGACCTCATGTGTAACAGCTCTAAGTCAAAAGATAAAATATTATGTTGACAAATCAAATAATAATGTGCAACCCTAGGAGATTCATAGAATTCCATAGTAGATTATCTGACAGATACTAATGTATTAAAGGCATTAAATGTAGGCATTCACCAATGTAGTTTCTTAAAAATACAATACAATGAGTTTCTGAAAAATATAATATTGAAACAGTTATTTTAAGTTATGAAAACAATCACAGGTAAAGATACAGAAGACCATGTGCTAATATGGCTTTTTTACTAATTATGTGATTTTAAGTAAGTAACCTATTCTTTAGTTTTTAAGTAGTGCATTTTGGAAGACCACAGAGGTAAAGTGCCATTCTTATCACATCATATAGAAAGCAAATACAGTCACCATGACTTATCACTGTTGATGTTGACCTTAAATCACCTGGCTGAGGTAGTTTTTAACAGGTTTCTCTACCAGATAGTTACTCTTTTTCTTATCTTTTCATCGCAGTCTTCTTTGCAATGAAGTGACTATGCACACACCACACTTAAGGAATGGGAGTTATATTTCACTTCCCTGAGGCCAGAATATATATATGTATATATGTATATGTGTGTGTGTGTCTATATATATATATATATAGACACACACGCACATTATACACACATATATATACACACACATATATATATGTGTGTGTACAATATATAAATAATTTAGGGAGAAAAGACAAATCTCCCATGCAGAAGGATTCCAAATAATTTTTTTGTGTGTAACATATATGTGTGTGTATATATATATGCACACATATTTATGTGTATATATGTATATATATATCTGTATATACAAGTATATATGTATATATCTGTATATACAAGTATATATGTATATATATCTGTATATACAAGTATATATGTATATATATATCTGTATATACCTGTATATACAAGTATATATGTATATATATCTGTATATACAAGTGTATACGTATATATCTGTATATACAAGTATATATGTATATATATATACACACGTATATACAAACACATATATAAATAACTGATATGAAAAAGGGTTAAATGTGTGGGAGTATGTGTGTATGTGTTAAAATTCTGATACAGCTATATATGTACACTGGAATTGAACAATTAAGTGAATGGATGATGGATAGTGGGAATCGGGTTTCTCACTATTGGAGTGGGAGTTTATAAATAAGCAAAGGGAGGAGCTATAGTTCCAGATGTCAGTATAAATTTACATTTAGCTTCTTATAGATACAGATGGCTACATATAGAAATATGGATATGTGTATATATAATGATTATTATACACATATATATTTCCTGTGCACTATCAGTTGAGAGAGCATAGAAGTAACTATACCCCAGTAGCAATGAGCACACCTAGATCCTAGATCCTGATTTCTAATACCATACTTCAATAAAAGGAACAAAGTCTCCTTAGAGAAATGGTTGGCATTAGGATTGAAGTGGAGAATATATGGGATGAGTCTGGAGCATCTCATGGTGCTAGTAAGCAAGGAAGAACTCAAGCATGCACACGCACGCACACACACACACACACATATACACAACCACAATAATGGGGGCATGTCAGAGGGACACAGGCGCTAACTGAAAGAGCTCACAATGGCCAAAGGAGGAACAACGTGGGCAATTGGATCATAAACCAAAGCATAAAATAAATATCCCAGGGTCCATACTAATATAAATAATTAACCAAATACATAAATAATTTGGGGAGAAAAGACAAATCTCCCATCCAGAAGAATTCCAAATAATTTTTTTTGTGTGTGTATACATATAAATATGTGTGTGTGTGTATATATGTATGTATGTGTGTGTATACACGTGTGTGTATATATATGTGCATATGTAGCCATCTGTATCTATAATAAGCTAAATGTAAATTTATACTGACATCACAAACTATAATCCCTTACCACATGGATCATTCTAGCCTCTTCCCTTTGTTTGTTTATAAACTCCGACTCCAATAGTGAGAAACCTGATTCTCACTATCCACCATCCATTCATTTAATTGTTCAATTCCAGTGTACATATATAGATTTATCGGAATTTTTAACACATACTCCCATACATTTAACCATTTTTTGTGTCAGTTTTTTCAAGATTATCTATGTAAAGCCTTTCACATCATGGTCTGGTAACAGGTGATGTTCAATTAGTGACAGCAGCGATCGGAATTTGAAATACTCTAGTAGTCTTGAGATTTTCTGTATTAATAGCACAGGTACTTTGATGGAGAAAGTACTTAAACTCTATTTTTTGGAAAGGAGGAAGTTAATAATAGTACTTTATGAGCTATATTGAGGATTAAACAATATAATTCAATACAAATATAGGAAAAACGTCCAATGAATGCTAGCTCTTAAGACTATCATTATTTCTCCAAAGAATTGACCTAGTCGGGATTATAATTTCTTTGAGTTACTTGAGAACTCAAAGAATCTGGTCTCTAAAGAAAGGAGACTATACACCATGAAAGCAGTCCCAACTTTCCTGCCAAATGTTTGTGTCACTGTAGAGCCTCCCAGTCCTGCTCCTGCATTCGTTTCACTATCAGGAGTTTGGAGGCCTCCCAATGGGCTCCTGTGGTGTGCAGTAAGATTGACATCTCCCTTTCCACTCACATGGTCAAGAAATAAAAGATCTGGTGGGGCAAATGAAGAGTATTCAACACAGTGGCACAAGATAAATAAGGGAGTCTCTGCCCCTCCCTCCTAATTTCAGGATGGAAATATGTGGCCTGCTGGGGAAATAGCAAGCTGCTCAATTGGGGTATGCCTTGCAGGATACATAAAGGAAAATAGAGTATCCGTCACTATTATATGATAATCATCGCTTTCACTAACTTATTTTCCTACAAGAAATATAATTTTTTAAGCAACATTTATCGCCTTCTTTCTTGCTCTCTGGGCTTTGGCTTGATTTTAGTGTTTGAGACAGTGCTTACCAACAGCCTTCCAAGTTGTTTTCCAGAACTGCTGTAGCACCTAAGACAGAATGGACTACATTTGAGTAATACATATCTCCAAAGTTACTGCTATTCAAGTTGAAATTTGGTTTTCTACTCCCTCAGGATTATCCATATCCAAATAAATCTCAAATCTACTTATCTGGTTTTCTAGCCCATTTTCCAAAGAATCTCTCACCTCCCCTGTAATCAGCATTAAACTTTCCTCATAGGCATTGAGATTGCAAACTCCTTTAGAAAAACATTTACTAATCATGCCACCGTATTTGTGCCCTGGAAGAAGGACTTAAGTGGACTCTATCAATTGTGCCCCTTTGCATTCTGTCTTCTGTTTGGGTTTAGGCAAAGTAAGACACCAACAGATCAGGGTTGAGTGATCCATCGGAAAACGCTGTGAATATTCATCCAGTTGACTGAGGTCTTCAATTCTTTGCATTTTCCTTTTATTTGTTTTAGGAACGTATTCATTGTTAATTGCTTTGAGTTTCTAAGACTCACATATAAATGTTTTTCCACGTACTCATCATGATACAGCACTTTCTTCCTCCTGCTATTTTTCCATGTGCCTAATCTTTACTGATAGTTTGTGATCTCCTTGAAAGCAGGAACAACATATTTTACATTTTATGTGATCAACAGTTCTTAGCACAGCATTTGACCCATGGAAGGAAAATATTTGATATTTACTGAAATAATGAATAAGTGGAAAACATTATATTTAGGAGATAAGATTAAGTGTGCATGTGTATGTGTGTGTGTGAAATGTTTAGGCAATAATAAAAGATTAGATGATTCAATAACAAAGTGCTGAACAGTATAGAATTCACAGAAAGAATGCTTCATGGGAACTAGAATAGTCATATAGTCATTAAACTATGCAATAAAATAAAAAGTCGATCTTGAAATGCACCTTGCAGTTTGAAGCAGTTTTGGCTAAAGAAAAAGTTTCCAGTAGGGAATGATATGCAAATGGCTGAAAATAATGGTTACAGATGAGTTAATTTCATGAAAAATGTGTGGGGAACATTAATGATGGCAAATTAAACATTGAATATTTTACAGGACATAAGACTGAAGAGAGGAGAGTTGAGCAAGTGAAAGTTGTTAGGGTCTGGATAATTCAAAGAGCTTGGGAAGTCTAGACTGGATCCTGTGAGGGATTGGAAACACTGTACGCATGGGAGTAGAGCAAAGGGTTGGGATGTAGTTGTCTTCCCCCTTGAGGTGAGGGCCTTGGGGATTAGAAATCAGAGAGAACATACCGAATTTTAAATAATACAGGGTGCATGGTCTCTTTCAGATAAGTCCAAATGGATAGGAAAGAAGTAATGCTTCTTCATGTCTTTCTTCTTATTATAAGCCCCAGGGAATAAGTGAGGCTGTAGAGTAGGTTTGAAGTCTAGAAACTATTTGGGTAAATAAAGGCAAAGAGAACTAGCCCTCAGTCTCTGTTTCTTTGGAAACCCTCACCTTCTTCTAAATCCCCACAATCCACAGTTCTCTGTGGACAGAGATTTCCACAGAAAATGACTTGGAAACAAAAACGAAAACTTTTATAATTTAGAAAGAGGCACAGGGAGATTCTCTTTTGCCCAAATATCTCAATTTTACTTTAATCAGATGAATGAAATGTGGCAAGGTAGTTGCACAGAATAAAGTGGAAGTGTTAAAATCAAGACATTTTTCCCTCCATAAGTCCAGTCTTACGAGTAATGGGAGTCTGACTAATGGGAAATACATCCCCTTACAGGAGAAGGGCAATAGTGTCACAAATTCTGAACAAAAGAACAAGTTATAGAGCAAGATATGCCACAGTGAGGGTGGGTGACATTATGAACATAGAAAATAAGTTATCTGAGTGGATTTGCCACCCTGCAGAGATGTGACTGCCTTTTTTTCTGTCCTGCTTACTCTCAGATTTTCGCTCATGTTTTGACTGCACTTGGCACGCTGAAGTCCTAAGTGAGGTCCAAGATGGTTTATTACTAAACTACTTTCTGATTAGACGGCATAACCCACCTGCATACTACAATGTTTACATATATGTCTGTTTCATTGGGAGCCAATCAAAATACAATGAACCTGTGCTTTCGCAGTAGCATAGGAGAAAATGTCACTATTTCCTAATGGAAGAGATTAAAGATAAACATGTCACCGAGTCAAACTCTGAGCAAGTTTAAGTCCAGGGAAAGGGCTTCCTATGGCCCTGCAGACACTACTTTCTAAATATCTCTGAGGTCACAGAGGTCCTCTAATTCCAATTCTAGTGATGTCTAGTGACAGAAGTTTCTCAGCATTCAGGCAATTTAGGGAACAATCAGCCAGATGATATGGGAGTGCTCTTGATTAGATGCCTGCAGCTGAGGTAACACCCAGCTGTGATTTTATTTCCCTCTGTTTGGATAACACAATTCATTCTTATTGCATGCGTTGAAATAGACTGCCAAAGAAATGGCCAGTTTGAAAGAACGCATGCTAAAAAAATCAGCATTCCAGGACTCATATTGTGATCAATTCAGCAACAAGAACATATTTCCAAATAGCCAGAATAAAACAGCACTAAGTCAAGGAGAGAAGATTTGGTCTTGCCGGATTGTGGCATCATCTCACATAAACACACAAAACTGTAGAAACGAGGATGGGGATGAGACTTGCATTGCAAAATTATGAATTTCTGAGTAATGACAAATGTTAAGCACCATACATTCCCCCACTGCAACCACCAATCTTTCACTAGCTTCCAATTACTTCTGTTTTCTCCCTTCTGTCTTTCCTCTTGTGGAAGTTTTCCACTTGCACAAAATAAGACGAAGCCAGATTGGTTTCATTTTAAAATCTTACTATTAGTCAATATATATGCCCCTCAGTCAATGGGTTTGGCTCAAAAATAAAGAGCTTTGATCATATTTCCTACCAATATGAATGTGATTACTCAAAATGCAGAATGCTCTTATTGTCATATTTCTGACAAAACTGTTAATAAATATTACATAGATGATTTCTGCAATAGGATCTGCTTCTTTTTTTTTTATTAAACATTCAACAAATATTCATTACATTCTGTGTGTCAGATAGGGTATAAGGTGCTAAGGAAACAATGACAAAGAATGCATTTGTAGTTTAGTAAGAAAGACAGATAAATACACTATGATGGTATAGAGTAAGTGCAGTACTAAAAGTTAAGTGTAAGGTACTATAAAATCACATAACAGGGACACTAGGTTGGAGGGACATGATCAGGGAAAGCTGTGCAGAGGAAGTAGATATGAGATATGAATGATATTAAGGTGTTAGCCAGATCAAGGGGATGAGTGCTTGTCCAGATTGGTGAACATATACTATACAAAGAGACAGCTTTCCTAGAAGAAGAAATTAAAAATGAGGAAGACAAGGAAAGGACAGGGAAGTTTTTTTTGTTTGTTTGTTGTTTGTTTTTTGTTTTCTTTTTTGAGGCAGAGTCTCGCTCTGTCGCCAGGCTGGAGTGCAGTGGCACAATCTTGGCTCACTGCAACCTCCGCCTCCCGGGTTCAAGCGATTCTCCTGCCTCAGCCTCCCTAGTAGCTGGGACTACAGTTGCATGGCACCACACCCAGGTAATTTTTGCATTTTTAGTAGAGACGGGATTTCACCATGTTGGCCAGGATGGTCTCGATCCCTTGACCTTGTGATCTGCCCACCTCAGCCTCCCAAAGTGTTGGGATTACAGGCGTGAGCCACCGCGCATGGCCCAGGACAGGGAAGTTTTAAGAGAGGGGGCAAGATAGTATATGGCCATGCAAGCCGTGTCAGGGCATTTGAACTTATACAGGAGAGCAATGATGACTCTATAAAAGAGAGTAATGTAGTCGGACTTGCATTTTAGGAAGACCACTCTGACAGCAATATTTGTTTTAATATGTCACTTCTGTCATGCTAAAGTTTTCAGTACAGTGGATTCTGTGCAGAATTTAGGCAGAGATAGAGACGAAAAATTCAGGGTTTGCAATGATAGTTCACCTC
This sequence comes from Homo sapiens, assembly GCF_000001405.40. NCBI lineage: Eukaryota > Metazoa > Chordata > Mammalia > Primates > Hominidae > Homo > Homo sapiens. The sequence continues at coordinate 36,879,337 of NC_000023.11, read as the reverse complement.
ATGAATTTCATCTACTTCTAAAGCTTATCCAATAGCATCAATATAGAAGATTCCCAGACCAAATCCTGGCTACCTATATCTTATCATTAATACAAGCGAAGTTATGGAGTAGCCTTAGTTTAAGACACCCTTTCATTATTCCTTCATTTCATTAAATCCTCTACCACCTGGTCCTCCTTTATTAATTTTTCCGTCATATTTCTTCCAGATGAGATATAACTTTTAATTGTTCCATATATGGCAACAATGTCATGCTTTCTGACGATGGAGAGTGTTCTTTTCTGATTTTTCCTGTGGGAAAATGTGGAAGAGAAAAAACAAAATGTGAACAATTAGCAGAAATATTGATAATCTCTATACTATCACTCAAATACTTTCTCACTTAGCTATTCCTGTGTTTCAAGTTATCTGCCAGAAAGTTATAAATTTCCCATGTAAACAGATATCTAGAAATGAAGTTTAGAATTTTACTGAGCTGAGTTTGAAAAGCTGGAATTTACATTTTTGAATTGATGTAATCTCTCTACAATGGAACTGGTTAATGGATTCATTGAAAAAAAAACATATACAGGGATCTGTAGTGTGATTTACTTATTCCTGTTTTGAAATATGATTAAATATGACTCAGTAAGGAAGAGGTTAAAAATGTGACAGGTAGAGGGTCGTTTCTTCTCTTACAGTATGTCATAGTTCTGGCAAGCCAGTTACAGATCACAGCTGCCTAATTTGTACCCTTGTTCTTAAGTTGGTGGAGGCAGATAGTGGGTCAACAGAAGGAGAGCGTCTATGGAAGGAATCTCAGAACAAGCTTCACATTATTTGACTCTAACCTAGATTATTTCATTTTTATGATTAACAGCTAAAAAATCGCACATTACATTTAAAATTCATTAGAAACCACAATTTAGAGTGACATTGATGCACATTCATTATGCACTGAAGATAGCGGCCTCCCACTATTAAAAACTGTTATTCATCCTTTCTTGTTATTTCATTTCTTTGATGCTTGAGTTAGTGCTTCCAGTTTCTATTAACTGCTCCCGTGAGGTGAACTGAGAAGACTCTGGTTTTTAACCTGACTCCATGTTCTAGCTAGAGAGATTACCAAGATGAGGCTACAGGGATCAAAGAATACTACTTAACGTTTATTAGATGGGAAGGAACAGGGAGTTGCCAGAGTAGTAGCAGGACCCCTTAAGGCTGGAGTAATTCATCGAAACAAAAATGTATTATGTGTCAGCCAGGATAAGAGTAGTTGTAAAGATAAAAGCAATAATCATAACAAAGTAGAGCTGGTACCTATTCAGTATGGGGGAAATCCAAAAACAGATTGGAAACAGGAGGGGCTACCCATCTGCTATGAACAAGTGGGTCATTCACCACTGTGTATTGAGAAAATAATGGTGGAGTGAAAGATCCCCCACAATGAAATAGGGCTGAAAGAAGATAGAGGATTTTAGTCATTTATTCGCCTAGAATTTCTCCTTTTTCTTTCTTTAACGAAACAACTTGAAGGTATAATTCTTTTTTTCTTATTTATTTTAATTGACAAATAACATTTGTATATATCTATCATGTATAACATGTTGTTTTGAAATATATATACACTGTGTAATGGCAAAATTGGGCTAATTAACATTCACATTACCTCTCATCATTTGTGTTTTGTCATGAGAACACTTAAAATCTACTCTGAGTAATTTTCAAGAATACAATACATTGTTATTAACTATAGTCACCATGGTGCACAATACATCTCTTCAACTTAATTGCTCCCATCTAACTGAAACTTTGTATCCTTTGGCCAACATCTGCCCAACCCTGCCCCTCCCAAAGCCCCTGGTAACCAACATTACAGTCTTTATTTCTGTAAGTTCAACTGTTTTAGGTTCCACATATAAGTGAGATCATTCAGTATTTGTCTTTCTGTACTTGGTTTATTTCACTTAACATAATGTCTTCCTGGTGCATCCATGATGTTGCCAGTGAGAGAATTTCCTTCCTTTTGAAGGCTGAATATTATTACGTTGTGTACATATACAAATTTTTTCCCTATCCATTCATTTGTTGATGGACACTTAGGTTGATTCCCTATCTTGGCTATTGTGAATAACGCTGCACTGAACATGGAAGTGCAGATATCTCTTCAATATACTTATTTCATTTCCTTTAGATATATACCCAGTGGTGGGATTGCTGGATCATATGGTAGTTCTATTTTTAGTATTAGGGGAATCTCCATACTGTCTTCTATAGTGACTGTACTAATTTATCTTCCCACCAGCAGTGTGCAAAGATTCCCTTTTCTCCACATCCTCTCCATCACTTATTATCTTCTGTTGTTTTGATGATAGCCATTCTAACAGGTGTGAGGTGACATCGCATTGTAGTATTAACTTGCATTTCTCTGATGATTACTGATGTTGATGATTTTTTTCATGTATCTGTTGGCCATTTGTGTGCCTTCCTTTAAAAAATGCTTATTCAAATCTTTTAACCATTGTTTTAATTGGGTTATTTGTTTTATTGTTTTCATGTTTTTTGAATTCCTTATATATTTTGGATATTAGTCTTTTATCAGATATATGGTTTAAAAATATTTTCTCCCATTCCGTAAGTTGTCTCTTCACTGTTTTTTGTTTTGTTTTTGTTTGTTTGTTTTTTTGCTATGGGGAACCTTTTTAGTTTGCTGTAATCCTATTTGTCTATGTTTGCTTTTGTTGCCTGTGCTTCTGGGTTCATATTAAAAAAAAAAACAATTGCCCAGACCAATGTCACAGAACTTTTCCCCCATGCTTTCTTCTAGTAGTTTTATAATTTCAAGTCTTATATTTAAATCTTTCATTTTTGTACGTGATGTGAGATGACGATCTACTTTCATTTTTCTGCCTGTGGATATTAAGTTGTTTCAGTACCACTAATTGAAGGGATAGTCCTTTGTCCATTGTGTTTTTGGCACCTATGTTGAAAATCAGTTGACCATAAATGCATGTGTTTATTTCTGGGTTCTCTATTCTATTCCATTGTTCTATGTATATGTTTTTATGCTAGTACAACACTATTTGATTACTATAGCTTGGTAGCATATTTTGAAGTCAGGAAGTGTGATGCCTCCAGCCTTGTTCTTTTTGCTCAAGAATGCTTTGGTTATTCAGGATCTTTTGTGGTTCTATATGAGTTTCAGGATTGTTTTTTCTATTTTTGTAAAAGAAAGTCATTTGAATTGTAATAGGGATTGCACTGTGTCTGTAGATCCTTTTGGGTAGTATGGACATTTTAACAATACTAATTATTCCATTCTAAGAACAGGGGATATCATTCCATTTATTTGTGCCTTCTTCAATTTCTTTCATCGGTGTTCTATTGTTTTCATTGTAGTGGTCTTTCACCTCCTTCAATAGATTCCTAATTATTTTTGTAGTTATTGTAAATGAGATTTTTCCTAAATTTATTTTTGAATAATTTGTATTTATACATAACAGATTTACACATTTTCCAGGTACATGCAATATTTTGATACATTCATATAATGTGTAATTATCAAATCAGGGTAATTGAGATATCTATCAATTTAAACATTTATCTCTTCTGTATGCTAGAAACATTATAATTAATTTCCTTTAGTTATTTTGAAGTATACAACATTGTTATTAAAATCACCCTACTGAATTATTGAACATGAGGTATTATCCTTTCTATCTAACTGTATTTTTGCATCTATTAATCAACTTCTCTTCATTCCTACTCCTTACAAATCTTTCTGGCCTCTGGTGATCACCAATCTACTCTATCTTCATGAAGTCCTCTCTTATAGGGTCCATATATGAGAGAGAGCAAGTGATATTTGTCTTTCTGTGCCTGGCTTATTTCACTCAATGTAATGACCCCCAATTCCATCTATGTTGCTGCAAATGATAGGATCTCATTTTTATGGATGAATAATATTATATTGTGTATATATGTCACTTTTTTATCCATTCATCTGTTGATAAACACTTAGGTTGATTCTGTATATTGGCTATTGTGAATATTGCTGCAATAAACATGGGAGTGCAGACATCTCTGATATATTGATTTACTTTCTTTTGGATATATAAGCTCTAATGGGATTGCTGGATCATATGATATGGTAGATTCTTTTTTAAAAATAAACCTCCATACTGTTTTCCATAGTGGCTGTACTAATCTACATTCCCATAAAAGTGTATGAAGGTTCTCCTTTCCCCACATCTTTGCCAGACTCACTAATTCCCTTTTTATAAAAGCCATTTTAACTAGGGTGAGATAATATTTTATTGTGGTTTTGATTCGCATTTCCCTGATTATTAGTGATGGTGAGCATTATTTTATACACCCTTTGGCCATTGTTTGTCTTCTTTTGAGAAATGTCTATTCAGATCTTTTGCCCATTTTAAAATTGGATTACTTGTTTTCTTACCATTGAGTTCCTAATATATTCTGACTATTGATCTCTTGTCAGATGGATAGTTTCCAAATATTTTCTTCCATTCTGTGGGTTGTCTCTTCACTTTGTTTTATCCTTTGCTGTGCTAAAGCTTTTTATCTTGATGTAATGCCATTTGTCTTTTTTTACATTTTTTGCCTGTGCTTTTGAGGTTTTGCTCAAAAACTCTTTGTCCAGGCCAACATGATAGAGCATTTCCCCTGTTTTTATCTCGTAGTTTCGTAGTTTCATAGTTTCAGGTTTTTTGATTTGATTAGTCTTTAACCTATTTTGATTTGATTTTTCTATATGGTGAGGGCTAGAGGTCTAGTTTTATTCTTCTACATATGGTTAGCCAGTTTTTATTAAAGAGACTGTCCTTTCCCCAATATACACTCTTGACATCTTTGTAGAAAATGAGTTGGCTATAAATGCATGGATATATTTCTGCGTATTCTATTCTGTTCCATTGGTCTAAATGTCTGTCTTTATGCCAGTACAGTGCTGTTTTGGTTACTATGGCTTTGTATTATATTTTGAAGTCAGATAGTGTGATGCCTCCTGCTTTGTTCTTTTTGCTCAGATTTGGTATGACTATTTGAGGACTTTTGTGATACTTTTTAGAATTTTTTTTCTATTTCTGTGAAGAATCTCAGTATTTTTAAAAATTTTTTTAATTTAAAGTTTTCTGGGTACATAGTAGGTGTATATATTTATGGGGTATATGGGATGTTTTGATACAGGCATAAGGATTGCATTGAATCTGTAAATCTCTTTGGATCATATAAACAATTTAACAATATTAATTATTTGAATCCATGAGCATGAAATATTCCATTTCCTTTGTGAATTTATTCAAATACTTTCATTGATGTTTTATAGTTTTCAGTGCAGAGACCTTTCATTTCTTGTTTAAATTTGTTGCCAAATACTTTATATTTTTGCAGCTATTTAGATGGCATTGCTTTCTTCATTTCTTTTTTTTTATATTGTTTGCTGTTAACATATATAAATGCTACTGTTTTTTGCACATTCATTTTGTATCCTCTTTCTGCCATTTTTTGGCAGTGTATTCTTAGGAAATTTACTTAAATTCTCAGAGTTCCAGTTTTCTCATCTACAAAATAGGAATAATTATATCTACTTCATAGGCATAATGTAAGGGAAATGAGATAAAGTATGTTACACACCTTGCATGGTACCTTGTACATTAGGCACTCATCAAATAAATCTCTCATGCATCATCGGTTCTTCCCATGCTTTTCACTTTGTGCCTCTTTTTTATTTTCCACAGCCTCCCTACCATCTATGATATCAGCCATGTCTATGATGATGAATCTTAAGTCAATATCTCCAAGTCCATTTCCATTTCAACCAATATTATGAAAGTCTGACAGACATATTTTATAAATGTACCACTTTATGTATGTATATCTTATAGTGCCAGTCTTTCGCTGATTATTTCAGCCTTTGTGCATTTGAAAAGTACTCATTTCCTGTGAAGTGGCCTGGGCCTGGTGTCTCCCTCTGTAGTAATGTTTAAAGTTCTAAGGCTTCTATAGCTCAAAAATAGGAGCTAGTCAAATTGAATTTTTTATACTATTAAAAGATACAGGAAAATGAGTTTTCATATGTACCATTTATTTAATTTTTTTAACTTTTAAGTTCAGGGGTACCTCTGTAGGCTTGTTATATAGGTAAACCCGTGTTATGGGGCTTTGTTGTACACATTATTTCATTATGCAGATATTAAGCCTAGTATACAGTAGTTAATTTTTTCTGCTCCTCCCCGTCCTCCCACCCTTCACACTCAAGTAGACTCTAGGGTCTGTTGTTCCCTTCAATGTGTTCATGAGTTCTCAACATTTAGCTCCCACTTACAAATGAGAACATGTGGTATTTACTTTTCTGTCCCTTCTTTAGTTTGCTAAGGACAGTAGCCTCCAGCTCCATCCATGTTTCTGCAAAAGACATCATCTTGTTCCATTTTATGGCTGCATAGTATTCCATGGTGTATATATATTACATTTTCTTTATCTAGTCTGTCATTGATGGACATTTAAGTTGATTCTATGTCTTTGTCATTGTGAATAGTGCGGCAATGAACATTCATGTGCATGTGTCTTTATGGTAGAATGACTTATATTCTCTTGGGTATAAACCTAGTAATGGGATTTCTGGGTCAAAGAGGGAGACACCAGGCCTAGGCCACCTCATAGGGCTACCATGTGATCCATACATTCCACATTAAGGCATTAATTCAAAAGAAATAAAAGCATATGTTCATTTGCAGAGGTTTTTTTTTTCTTTTAGAGAAAGGGTTTTGCTCTGTAGCCCAAGCTGGAGTACAGTGGTGTGATCATAACTCACTACACCCTCGAGCTCCTGGGTTCAAGCGACCCTCCTGCTTCAGCCTCTTAAGTAGCTGGGACTACAGGCATGCACCACCACAGCTGGCTAATTTTTTTATTTTTATTTTTTGTAGAGACGCAGTCATGCTATGTTGCCCAGGTTGGTCTTGAACTCCTGGCTTCAAGCAATCCACCTGCCTCAGCCTCCCAAAGTGTTGGGATTACAGAAGTGTGCCACTGTACCTGGTCAAGGGTTTATTTTTAATAGACAAAAACTTGAAACAACCAAAATGCACATTAACAGGTGAATGAGTAAACAAATCTTGGTATATCTGTACAACAAAATATTACTCCATAATAAAAAGGATGAGCTACTAATATATGTAACAAGATGAATGAATCGAAAATAATTATGCTGAGTGAATAAAAAAACAGAAAAAACTGATTATTTCCTATTTATGTGATGCTCTTTGTATAAAATTATAAGAAATGCAAGCTATTTAACAGAAAACCAAAGAGTGGTTGTCTGGGAATGCTAAAGAAAGGGTATGGGAATAGGGAGAGATTACAAAGGGGCATGATAAAACTTTTGAGGGTGATGGCTATGTTCATTGTCTTGATCATGTTGATTTCATGAGTACATGCATATGCCAAAATTGAGTGTATGCTTTAAATATAAATATATTGTTATATGTCAATTCAATCCTTCATGGTAAAAAAAGTCTTCATTTTGCCTTTGTTTTTAATGGTATTTCTGCTCATAATAAAATGTTGGGTTTATGGTTTCTCTTTCTCTGTGCTTTTTAGTTTGTATGGTTTTCAATAACAAATCTGCTGTCATCCCTAAGTTTATTACTCTCTATGTAACAGATCTCTTTTTCTGGCTGCTTTTAAGATTGTCTTTTTATTGTTGGTGTTGAGCAATGTGATTATAATGTATGTTGATATACTTTAATGGTTTTTTTCTTGGGTTTTGTTGAGTTTCTCAGATCTGTTATAGTTTTCAGCTAATTCAGAATTTTTGGCCATTATTTCAATGAAAGTAAATAATTTGTGCAGAATTTCTTGTTTGATTAAATAGACATTTCAAATGAAGTGTTGGTAGTGGCAAAGATGAAGAGGTTCCTTTTAAGTTTTCATTTATAAAATTCTCTATTTTTTTCAATAAAAAGGCATCACTTATGTAATTTAAACCTTAAGAAAAAAGCAAAAGAAAGACAGAAAGCAACGGAAGAAAAGTACTCTGGAACATGTCAATGTAATCATTGAAAATATGTTGTTCATTATAGGGCATGTCTTATTTTTTGACACTCCCCATAAGGGGGAAAATTCTTTTGTAGTTCAAGGATTGAGTGCTATTGAGTAATTATTTTGTTTCATTCGGCCAATCTTTTAAATTATGAAACTGTATAAATTTAATACCTTATATTAAATGTTAGAAATGTATTTCCCACAAGCTATAAGTCATAACTGAGTTATGATTAATTTTAGCCTAATTCGTGGGTATACTTTGTCATCATTCTTCATTTTTTGTTTTCTCTTGGTACAATTTTTTAAGCTTATGGTTTATTTTCTAACCTTCTATATTATTTAAATAAACTTTAAAAATATTTTATTTGTAATTATTATGGGTACATAATAGGTTTTTATATTTATGGGTTACATTTGATTTTTTTTTGATACCGACATTGTATTAATCCATTTTCACACTGCTTTAAAGATACTATCTGAGACTGGGTAACTTATAAACAAAAGAGGTTGAATTGGCTGGCAGTTCGCATGGCTGGGGAGCCCTCAGGAAACTTACAATCATGGCGGAAGGCAAAGGGGAAGCAGGTAGTTTCTTCACAAGGCAGCAGGAGAGAGAGAGAGAGCACAGGGGAAACTGCCACTTTTAAGCCATTAGATCTCTCACTATCACAAGAACAGCATGGGGAAACCGTCCCCATGATCCAATCACCTCCCACCAGGTGTCTCCCTCGACACATGGGGATTACAATTTGAGTTGAGATTTGAGTGGGGACACAGAGTCAAACCATATGAGGCACCAACCTTCTATATTTTTTAAAGCTTTCTCAAATCCTTTTGGAACAACATGGTATAAATATACAAATTAACAGGCAAAACATGATTGAGTGGTTAGTTCTATAATGCTATCATATGTGAATATACCTGATTTATACTGGTATAAAGACTATACTTGTCAAGGTGCCTAAAATATTTATGGCAAATGGTCAGGTTACACTTTCACAAATAAAACAATTCTTCTTCTTTAGCTTTCCATCTCTTAAATTTTATACATATCACTTCACTTTATAATATGAAAATAGTAGACAAAGCAGATGGCCATTATTTTCAATCTCATACTGTTTTACTTGAATTACATTTCAGTGTCTCTGTTAGAGACTTGAGAATTGTCTTAATCTTTCAATGAAACTAGGGAAACATGCTAGCAGCAGCAAAAATATTCACACAAACCACTTCTAAGGGGTACTACCCTTGCACATGTCCCATTGATTTGATTATCATGTCTGGGTTAACAATTTGATCCATACTTAGTGGTGTAAAATAGCAATCAATTAAAATTATTATCTCTTTATAGTTTTGGGGTTTGACTGAGCTCAGCTTGGTGGATTTCAGTTGAAGTCTCTCATGCTGCTGCACTCAGAAAGTGGCTGGAGCTGAAATCTTCTAAAAGCCTTCTTTACTGCCATGTCTGGTGGTTGATGTTAGTTTTTGGTTGGAGTCATAGCAGGGGCTAACAATAGAATCATCTACGTGTGGCCTTTCTATGTAGCTAGGTCTTCCTTACACCATGGCATCTTTGTTCCAAAGGCAAATGTCCTGAGAGAGCCAGTCAGAAGCAGTATTACTTTTTCTAATCTAACCTCAGAAGTTGCACAATGTCACTTCAGCTGCAATCTTTTTATTAGACTTTGGTCACTAAGGCCAGTCTATATTTAAAAAGTAGTGGGGTGGGAAATTTTTCCCATCTCTTGATAGGAAACTTGTCAAAGAATTTTCAAATATGTTTTAAAACCGTACACTCATCTTGCTTCTGTGATATTGAGACTTAATAGTTCCAGTTTTGGATGGCTACTTTTCCTCTGCTAGGCTTCCCAAATTGCTTATTAGTCTTTTTACCTGCATCAAGATACATTATTCTAAGCCTATGTTCCTCATAAAAACTTCACCACACAGCATACAATATAATGACCAGTAACTCTATATCTGTTGTCATTGTGCTTTGCCTTAGGAAAGTTTTCTCCTAAGACAATATTGCTGGATTCTGTCTCAACATTGTGTTTCAAGGGGATAACATGCAATATCCAGATTAATAAGAGTTTTCCCTCCTAGTCAGTTATGGTAAAACTTTGGTATGGCTAAAAGCTTCTCTGGATCTGTTGCTTTCTGATGTCATTTCAGGTTTCTGGAATGGTTAAAGGTTTCTCTTGATCTGTAGGTTTCTAGAATCAATTCAGGTTTTTGCAAGTTTGCCATTTCACTGCTTTTAGTTCTAGAGGGGCTACTCTTGACTGATACTCAAAGGCAAGAAGACACACCACTGAGGACCAGGTACTGCTATGCTGAGTGAACTAAGTTGATTTCAGATTTTATTTAAATGTAAATCTGTCTGGCTGCATAGATTTTGCTCAATAGACCAATTTATTCATGGCATGATTCCAAGAATCAAAAGTTTGAGTGCCACTGTAGGCGTATGAGATTACTGGAGAGTCAACAGATTGACTTGCATAACTACTGTACCGTATGACCATGCTTCCGAGAAATTGCTGCCTAAAACAGTACTCCTTGCCTTTTGATATTTGAATCCTTGAAAACATTCAACAATACAAACTTGCCATTATTTAAGGCAAGATTCAAAATATTTCTACAGTTAGAGGGGTCATGAGAATTACAGAAATAATAATACTTAATAGAATTTTTGTTAAATACATACTTAGTATTAGTGAATATTTTACAGGCTGTTTCTGTGCATGTGTATGTAAATAAGTTGAATGAAGTGAAGCACATTTGCTAAATCAATACTATTCTATGGTTTGTATATATAAACAATTCATTTGCAATTGAATGTAACTTGATCATTCAACTGGTATTAAGTGATTTTTCTATTGTTAACCTATAAGTTAATGTTTTATTTGAAGCAAGATTGATTTTTGATCATCGAATGGCAAGTTTCAAATTGGGTTGGAATCCTACAGTATGGAATTTAATTTATTTTAATTAAATTAATATGTCCTGTTTGAAAATATTCAAATTATTTTGTTTTGCACAGCTATATATAATTTCAAACAGAGGAGGGACTTCCCCCTGTGCTAAACTTTAGAACGTATTTAAGGAGGATAAAAATACAAGCACTTTATAGTCACATGCTTGTGAAAATTGCCTTTGAAATAATTAATGAAGTGGGAAAAATGAGATTTTAATAATGTGGAATATAAATCAGTTTCTGGTAAGATTTGGTATTTGTACAACATTAGGGAATATTTAGTGTGCAAATATGTTTGATAGTATACTTCGTGTTATGTTAGCATTTCTATTAAAGACCCTAGAGCATTTTAAATAGACATTAAGATTTTCAGTTCTCTTCTCTGATTATGGAAATGCTCACATCTTATATCTGGCATTTTTTTCTCACAGTTTTAGGATAGATACAATACAGAATTAGAGGGCAAGTGAATCAGACTGCACAATGGAAAAATGGAGATGACTATAGGTTGGGAATTCTTAATAAATTCAAAAATGTACCTATAAAATATATCATCTCTATCTATTTTGTCCTTTCATCCTAAAGGATAAGGTTTCCTGTGGCTGAGAGCCTTTGTATAGTACTTTCCCTCTCAGAGTTATCAATCAAATATCTATCTTGTGGTAGAACAAATCAGAGAACCTCATTCTGAACCCAAACACTCAGACCCATATAACATATCAGGGTAATCAATGTCAGAAATACTAGTATTCTTCCTGGTTGCTGTTTCACTGTCACAAATTGACACTGTTATCCAAATGTGTTTATCAATCACTTCTCACTGAACTAACAGATTAGTCTCTTTTTTCCTTCGTCTGTAAACTACAATTGACTTAATTTTCCCTGGGCATTCATCTGTCTGAGAAGTGATTGTAACTGGTTATGGAAGACCTAAGTGATAGTCATTAATATTCTAAATTGGATTATGCCACTAGATGGCAGCCTTGCAAAGCTAGTATTGTCTTTCAAAGTATTTTCCAAACTGTAGACTATGAAGTGTTGGCCCGGTGAAGCGAATATATTATTCCTTACCCTATCCATGTAGGACTTTAGGTTTGTACTTCCCAATGGTACAAGGAAAATAGAGCATAGAGGAAGAATAGGGAAATACTGCCTGTATCTGGCTAGGAAATGTTTGAAAGGAGGAAAAAAGAAGTGAGAGAGGAAAAGAAGAAAGCAATCACCAATTTTCTCACTTGTTGCTGCAAGGTATAGGAAGGAGATACTTATGATAAGGAATGATTACATTAAAGTATAGAAGGAGGAGGAGATTGCTTTTACTTTCCATTGAGAGAGCCAAGAAAAGGTCACTCTTGGGATGCTGTTTTCATACCAACCTTGAGCAATGACTTTAGGAACTTGGCCTTATAATGGATGTGACAGAGGTAAGCCCTGAAGTTTTATTTTCCTGAAGCAACCTCAATTTCCATGTGGCACAGGCATGAGCTGGGATCTGGCTGGCCTGACAAGGGACTCAGTGTAGCTGGTGAACCAGAAATAATGATGGTGGATCAAAAAGTCTGGGAGGCGGAGGTTGCAGTGAGCCAAGATCATGCTACTGCACTCCAGCCTGAGTGACAGAGCCAGACACAGTCTCAGAACAAACAAACAAACAAACAAACAAAAAACAGGTCTGTATTGGTACCAGCAAGCCACACCAGGATCATGAACTGCCAGCTGTATGGACTGCTGGGCAATTGGAGATGGTTGGCAGGTAAGCAGAAATACAATACTTTCTTGCCAAAATTTCACATTTTGTTTATTCATTAAGCAATCTCACGATTGATGTAAGTCTTTTATTATACTTCAGAGCTCCCAAATTTTTGCATTTTTTCCAGCTTACAGGTACCTCAGTGAAGGGACTGCTTTTTTTGAGCCCTTACTTTGCCATTTTTTCTTCAACTTTTATACATTCAGATTTACTTTCCTGAAATACTTTAATGAGAATGCCTCTTGTTTGCTGGAACAACAATCAATTACTCACAAATTGTGCCCATCTTCTTTTAGCTGACAGTCATATCTTAAGAGTTGTAAAAGAGAATTTCTTCCTGCTACTCTGGTGAAAGAACCTGGTAATCCAGCTAGACTCAAATACTCATCATTCTATGATGACATGTTGTTCTTACTGTATTAATTTCTGTTTCCATGTTGTTTACCTTGTCTAGAATTCAATCCTTACCATTCCTTTGTTAATATTTGGCCATCCTGAATGCTGATTGGCCTCCTCCACCTTGTTGGCTTGCCTGCTCAACCCAGTTCTTCTTAAGATATAACTTGATTTCTGCCATTTTGTGAGTCCTACTACATACTGTCATATAGAGTCAATTCCCTTTGTTTCTTTCTGATCGTATTCTTGGAGGAGACTGATTTTGACAGTAAAAAGGAGCTAAAGTCTTAATTGCTTTACATCCCAGCTTACACTCATAATACCCTGACTAAAAATTTAGTCTTCCATTTTCTCATCTAAATTTGTCATTAATATTACATTCATCCAAGTGGCTTAATATTTTGAATATGTGGTTCTCTCATTAAGTGAAGAATTGGGATGTATATTACATGTTTTTTATAGGACTAAAACAAATCACTGAGTCACTCATTTAGAATCTTCTCTCAAAACCTTTTTAATATTGGAAGATAATACAAGAGAGTTGGAAATCTTTGGTTGTAGAATGGATCTTACATCCCTCAATATTTGCATGGTGCTAAGGGTAAAGAAATTCAAAAGGTCTTCTTGATTGTCAGTTATCATTAGTTATCAATCCACCTTTTAAACTCAAAATTGTCTCTCTGACACAACCCCAAGAGCTTATGTAGCTATAATTTTTAAAAAGCAGTGGGTTTTCAAATAACAAAGTTATATATTAACCAATAAAGATTATTAGTAAGTTAATTCTAGAAAACGTGCCACTTAACTACAAATACCTGTCAAGTAGTGATCTTCTTTGATATTATTGAAATTTCACAGTACAGTCCCAGTCCAAAGCATATGAGTTCCAATGCAGTATTGGGTACTTATCATAAACAATTGTTGCTAATTCTGCTGGCTGTGGCCCTGCTACTTTAATAATATTTCTCCATTGAACCATAATAAATAACTGTGATCTCTGTGCTTCTCGTATTGTGCTCCATTATGTTCCATAACCAAAACAAATAAACCTACATACACTTTTAAATATCTTATGGTGGATTTTATTTAGAATTCTATACCAAAATGCTATTACTTTTATTATTTCTCATAAATATGCTCACATGCTCAAATTGGCCATTTCTCATAAAACCACTTTTGGGTTTTGAATGATTTTAGTTTCACCCAAAATGTTGTTAAGCATCTGACATAGGCTTATTAAAAACATTGTGGGTTTCTATTATTGAAGTTGCTAAAGAAAAAGGTATATTGCCAACAAGTCAGGCTATACAATGAAAACTATTTATTGGAGAATTTGAGTCACCTATGCATGCAGAAAACTGATAATTCTCAGTAGTTCAAGAATTTGACCCAGCTGTCAAGGATAGCATTGAGTGTGAATCATTAGGAGCACTTGTTCTTCACAGAATCATTAGGGGCACTTGTTCTGCACAGAATACAGAGAAGTGCTGAAAAGAAATTAACACCATGTCTCTAAATGACATTTAGGAACAGTAGAGAACTTACGGATGCCAGAAACTACAAAAAACATACTAGGGTAACCCAGGCAAGGACAGAGAGATTCCAGTTTACAGAATAATAATTCTGAGTCAGAACAGGTTCAAAAGAAATATAGATTCCTAAGTCAGCATTGCTCATCTGTCATTTAATAGATACTACCCTGCTCTGTCTTTTCATATATACCTCATACCTTATTGACAAGAATATGAAATCTGTTGTATTAAGTTGAATGATGAAAGGATGAACCTCATGGCAAAGTTTTAAAATGCATAGATTTATGTTAAAGTTAAGCAAATCAGTGACTCTCAAGGGCAAGTTAGGACCAAAATCTGCTAAGTTAGTCAGATTTCCCTTTATATTTATAACTGTTAGGCAGAGAACAGATTGAGAATGTATACGTTTGGGGGAATGAACTACACATTGTGGAGGGTGTAAGCCTTGTCTTCTCGGAATTCAACATAACTGTATTTGCTGATCTGGGGAGATGCACATTATGGTAAACATGATTTCTTGTAGATGCCTTTATTTTCCAATATCATGCCATGGCAATTCAATTCAATTACTATTCTTGAAAATGGGCAGGAAATCTCTTTCTTTTGCATGCCTTTTGTAAGCATCAAAAGGCAGCATTACTAATATGTTTCTTACAAACCCATCCAATTTAACTTTACAGATGTTCTCAATCCTTAAGCTAGATACTGTATATTAACAGAGTAGAGCAAAATTCCAAAGTTCCAAGGTGGTTTCATTGTTTTTGAACCAGAGATATTGAAGAAATTAACACTTTTGTGAGAGCTAAAGACCTAACACTCTAAGAATTACTAAGAGCCTGAGGCTTACCTAACGTTAAGTGAATAAGTATCTTCTAGAAACTTCACTAAGCCAGCAGTTTTTATTAACCTGGATCATTATATGGGCATAGATTGGAAATATGTTTGTTGTCTTGGTTACAATGACTTGGAGATGCACATCTATCCCAAA
The DNA here is from genome assembly GCF_000001405.40 of Homo sapiens. Classification (NCBI taxonomy): domain Eukaryota; kingdom Metazoa; phylum Chordata; class Mammalia; order Primates; family Hominidae; genus Homo; species Homo sapiens. Next base: position 36,863,648 of record NC_000023.11, on the reverse strand, counting down.
AGGGCCCTTTCTAGGACTGTCCTCAAATTAGCATGATTGAATATCCTTGATAATGCTGAGAAGCACTAAATCTTTAATAATTTTTCAGGTAATGATAAAAGTCATCATTCTGTGACAAGATTGTACTTCAAAAGTGCAGACAGGCAGGATGAGTAAAAAGCCTGTAATCATCAAATGAAGGAAAAATGAAAGTTCAATGTTCTAATTGATTTAATGGGGACAGTCATTCTATTGATTGCTTCATCTTTCATTTCCTCCTTTCAAACCTTTTGTGTGCCATTATGTAGAAGAGGGTTAAAACCATTATCTAAGACAATGCCAAACCCATCCTTCCCAAACAGAGTCAGATACTCAATTTCTAAAACCCTGAGAGGGTAAGGCTTTGAGGTTTTTGTTCAGGTTTAAGCAATTCAGAGACTGGTAAGGAAAGTGAAGATAATTTAGACTAAATAAGATTTGTATTGCTGTTGTGGGAAAGAAACACAAATGTCTCAACAATTTTATTAAGGTTCAAGATTTTTTTAAAGAATCTTCATGATTCTTTTGCATTTATTTTTTTACCTATCATGAAACTACTTAAAATCTGTTCCCAGTAGGAGAGACAGAAATGATAATAAGGATGAACCAGAATATAAAGACACTACTGGGAAAATTATTGTCTACAGTAAAAAGGACATACAATTTAGACAGTAAATGGTAGTCTTGGCTTGTGGAAAGTGCATATGTTGCTTAGCAAAAGTCAAATTCATTTCTCCTTTCAAGAAGGTGAGTAAACCTCTGAAACCATCTGCAGTCTCTTACAAATAAAATCATTGTAAATATTTTTAAAGTTGAGAAGTAAAAGTCCTTTTTTTTTAACTTCAGTCAATAGACTAAAAAATAATCTTTTAAAATTTTTCTTTTTCAATTTTTTGGACCAGAAACACTGATTCAGTCACCCCTGATTATTGCAGTGCCTGCAAAGTGCTTCGTGTAACAATTTGTCTCAATACATTTATTTACAAGCAGGTCATATGATATATAGGTGGGATGCTCTGACTTTCACTGTTGCTTGAGGGAGACTTTGACAGAACATGGTCAGTTCCTGCTTGGACAGCAGATTCTGGCAATGGAAACTCCGGCTCATAGACATTTCAGATTTACTGAAAAAATGTTGCTGAAAACGGCTGACATCTGTATCCTCCCCCAAACCTCTGTATTATCTAAACCAACAAAAAAATGGTGAACAGTTTTTGAAAAGGAAAATACTGGAAATTATTCTAGCTCTAACAAACTTACAGAATAATTAAATATATTTCTTTGTAAGTTGGATTTTTTTATAATCCTATTTTTTTCAAACTTCTGCAATACTTCTACCATCAGTTTGAATACCTCCCAAGGAAAATTTCCAAAATATGGCATAACAACACTGGATATGGAAACAAGCAGTGAAGAAAACAATTGTTATGCTGTGCCTAGGCTGGGTCATGTCTTCCCAATTACCAGACCATCTCCCACCTTCTCAAGTTCTTTAATAACCATCAAAAAATTGAGACCATCACATTGCTTAGGCGCACAGCAAAGCTGACATCTGGCAATATATTTACCCAATGAAACACGGGCTGGAAATGCTAGACTGTATTTATTTTGTCTGTGTTCTTCCTTCCACTATTTTCTTTTGCTCTTCTGACTGATTCCTATCTCCTGCCTACTGTATCTCAATTTTTTCAACCAGGATTCTTTGAATCCTCCTGTCTCTTCTCCACCACTCCATTTCAATTTTAACAAGTGCTAATATTCTGTCCAACACTTGACCCAGATTCTTGCTCCTTGCTTAGGCAACACAGAGATGCATTCTGGCTGCTGTACAATTTTCAATTTTTCCAGCTCAGAGAGTTCACAGTTCTGCTCCAACTCTGGAGACAGGGAGGTGGCTGGGGTCTTGCTATGCTAAGTGTGAACAGCAGCATCAGCATCTGCTGGGAGCTTATTAGAAATAACAAATCTAAGAACTCACTCCACACCTATGTAATCAGAATCTGCTTATATATGTTTTCACAAGATTCTCAAGATGGTTCTGTCTGTGCATTAAGCATAAAGTATGAGAAGCACTGGACTAGATCAGTTGTTCACAAGATTATTTTTAACAGCACATGCTTTGTAATAAAACAAACATTTAATATATGTGCTCCCAAAATATGAATGTAGCAGAATGTCTCTGCTAAAAAAGAAAACTTCCCTGAATTTCTTCGTGCTTCTTCAAGAATCCCCTGCCTTCTGAGACACAGAAATGTATATGATGTAAAGATAGAGAATGTTTGCTTTTATTTTCCCCAGAAATACTTTACTCTTTACATACCATGAGATCTAGATCTGTAGTCATTTGCCTAGTTAATTGATCTGGTCTGAAAAGGTAATAAAAATCTCTCAACTCCCTTAGAGTGCTAAATGTTTGCATACCTGACTAGGTCCCCTTGTTAAGTTCCCAAGGTGCAGGAAAGACTGCAATAGCTATGCCTTTGGGTATTTACATTTCCAGGAGTATTGAGGCTGGAGAACTTGCAGACATCTCTAGGTCCCAAATTCTGAGACACATGTAGCCCTCTGGCTCCTGCAAACATTTTATTTACATATCAGTGAATTGGAGTTAGGATTCAGACCAATTAATTTTCCAAGAACACCCTTTCAAGAGGGGTAAGGAAGAGCTGCTTCTTCCTCTTTATAAGCAAAGAGAAATATCTTTCCCATCATCTTCTCCCTTGCCTATGGAATGCTTGGCTACTTGTGTAGGACAGTTGGCCTTATTCTTATTGTGTAACCCCAGAGGTAAAGCCTGAGGCAAGGTAGAGCAGAGGATGAACTTATAATTAGGAAATTTGTCTCTGATCTGGAATACCTTTTCTGTGCTTTCAGGATAAAATGAATAAATATGAATATTGAAAACCCAACAGTCACATTGGAAGTTTTGACTGAGGTGCCAGGATACAATAGATATCCAAATATTCAATGATATTCAATGAATATACAATGATATTCCAAAGTGAGGTTGCTGGACCAAAATGCAAATTTTCAAAGAAAATGAGAGGTTGGAATTTTTTCCAAACTTGAAACACTTTAAAGGTATCAAAGAGTTGAACAGATTTGTCAGAGTACATTTGTGAGATTTCTTTGGAGAAGCTATTGTTATGCTGTGATCTCACCTATTCACCGCCACTGATCTCAAGGTGAATAGGTGGGAACGGTCAGATCTCACCTCAAGCCTAAGGAGAAGGGTTTTAATAAAACCACTGAGATTATGATATATGTTCCTTAAGGTTTAAGAGTCACAGAGAACTGTATTCTCACTATGGACTAGGAAATCACAAAGACAAGTGAGATGGAATGGCAAGTTATTATGTGGGAAAGCAAAGGAGAAGTGACTGTATTAGAATCACCCAGAATTTGTTGAAGGGAGATGTGTGTTTCCCATGAATCAAAAGTAAGAGACAGTAGAGCCACCTAGAGTTTTTTGTTGTTGTTGTTCTTGTTTACTGTGAAATTCTAAAACAATATTTATTCACCAATTCACAGAAAGTGTCGTAACGACCACCAGCGTGAATCAGTTTGTAGACATTTACAAGCCACAGCTGAAAACAAAAATCTGCCTGCATTGAATAGGCATTTAACGAATTACTTGAAAACAGCAAGAATCATAACTGTTATAAATTAAAATTTGTGAATCAAACATGGGTAAGATCACAGTCATGGGGAGAAGCCCAACACATTCCCGTGATGGTTCTTATTTTCTTCCTATATCTTTATATACATAGAGACTCTCAGCGCCCCTCACTCTGTATCAGTCTGAATTGGATATGACAGCTCAATTAGGCCTGAGAGAGGATTCTGAGAAAAGGAGTCGGGAGGGGAAAGGGCATTCTCTGATCCTCTGTGGCTGGGCAACCTTGTCGACTGAGAAGATGATGTGCTCTTCTGAGATTAGATTCAATTTTTTATAAATTCATACAGTCCTTCTAATGAGATACTCCGAAGTTTGCATTGTTTCGCACTCATACACAATAGTATATTTATCAAATAAACACATTTTCTAGACTAAAAAGATTCATTCTTTGAGGCAGCTTAAAGAGCTCAGAAGTCAGGTAAACACTGGTCCACCCCTGGAGGCAAAGCCATCCACTGCGGGAGACACTGGCCAGACGGGCAGTAACGGCCCAGACAGTAGCAGTGATTGAAGGTGATTCTGCAAGACGAGGCTGCTCCCGCTTCTTTCTCTGCTGTGTCAACACCACAGAGACTCCAGAGGAGAGAAAACATACCTTTCTCTCTCAGGCCTTTCCCACACACTCTGAGGTTGAGCAGCTGGGAATAAACAGCATCGGAGGCTTCTAAATGGTGGTGGCAGCTTCAGACAAGGGAGAAGGGAAGGACTGAGAGAAGAAATTATTAGACTTTTTAGACTGACTGAACCCACAACCTTTACATTTGGATACAAAATTATGCCTGGGGGTGACAAATTCAACAGCACTTTACCCAGTGTTTGGGCAATGGTGTAGAGACAATAGTAGATACAAGCTGCAGCTTTAGACAGTGATAGAAGCTACAACTTTAGCTTGTAGAAACAGCTGTTGGGTGTTCAGCAGATGAAGTCTATGTGGATGCAAACCCACTGTGTGCAGCATTCCTTCACTCTCACTACTAGGGAGCCAGACCCTGTGCCTGCAGCTGGCTGAATATTGCATGGAATCTGTGAATTCAGAGTCTTCTCCTCAGTTAAGAGGGAGCGAGAGCCACCTAGAGTTTTAACCAAGAAAACCACTTGGGAAAGTAAAGGTACTGACCAAAATCAACTTCAAGACATCACCGAAAACATGTTGATCGAGCACAACTAAATCAATCGCGCTCACTGCAGTAAGGGAGAACATGACTGAGCCTTCGTACTTTCTCAGAACTGAGAAAGTCAGGGGAAAATACGCATAGGATTTTAGAACCTGGGTATAGTGATGTGAAGATAGATCTTGCTGAGGTGATAGATCTTCCTATGGGGGACTAGGTAGAGGTTATGACAGAGTATCTTTAGATTAGGAGACACAGAGAGGTGAGATCTGGAAGTGAACCTTGATGAGCAATCTGTTAGTATTGAAAATAAGTATACTATTCTTTTCACATTCTTATCTTGCAGTAGAAAACATTTTGTGGAACAAATTGGTGAGTTATTTTTGCTTGTTCTTAGTATTATTTCTCAGCATTACTTAACACAGAGATAGTAAAGTGTACTCAGTCCTGGTATTATTTTACACGGATCCAGGAAATTAAGTTGGTTTCGGGTTTCACACTCCAAAAGAGAGAGTTTTTTTGAAGTTGGCAGCTAGAAAAAATAGAAACAGAAGAGGTAACAGCAGCTGGAAAAACAGAATGCATCATGTTGATCACAGAACTTCAGAAGGGATCCAGGAGAACAGACTCTGAAGAACCCACAATTTATATATAATAATTTATATTATATTATTAATATATATTTATGTTATACATATAAATATGTATTTCACATATATACATATATACTATATATAAATATAGTTATCTTTGATATGTATATGGTTATATCCCAAGATATATGTGACTATGTCAGTGAGATATAAGTGAGGAGTAAACCGCTACCAGGTCTAGGGAGAGCAAACCATCTCCTACAGTATAAGGGAATTAAGAACTTCCCTATGTCCCTCTCTCTTCTCTTTAAACTCCATTAGACATTGGCAATGTCACAAACAGCACTAGTGAGTAAAGGTAAATAGGATCTAGAGAAACAGAAGAAACTGATCAAACACCTCCCCTGCTTCAAAGGCAGATGGGTTGTTCCATACTGGTTTCAATAAAGTTCAAATTGATGAGTCATAAATTGGACTGAAGCTTTTCTAAATACTAAGTCCAGACTGAATATTTGCAACTAAAAGTGGTCCTAGAACTTCTGTTATATAAGAATAATTAGAGAATGTATTCTGCCTCTCTACTGGAATTTTTACCCAGTGGCAGAAGAAGAGATTTCCTCCACAGAATTATTTCAAAAGGACAGTAGGAGACAAAAATAAGGGTGTGTTTTGATTATTTCCTATGAATCAGTCTTCTTCAGGGGAATTATACATATATATATATAATTATATATATTTATATAAATTATATAAATATACTTACATATAAATTTTATATATTATATATTTGTATATACAAAGTATGTATGAAATTATATACATACACTACTGATACAATATGTATACAAAATATATAAATACAAATAGGCTAAAGATGAAATAAACAATACCTTGAAATATTTTTATTTTCTGTATTAACAGCGCAAAGTCTTTTTGTTGGCAATGTTATTGAATGTGCTTTATTTTTTAACCTTTTGATATTCCATTAATAGCACAATATCCAAATGGTACAACATAGTTCTACGTTAATTTCATTTTGATTCTTGGTTTTCGTAGCTGTCGTGGCTAGAAAGGTGAATTGATCTTTATGGAAGAAGAGTATCATTGGTTGCACTTACTTAATGAGGACACTGAGTTTGAAATCCCAACTACTAAATATTGAAAGGACTTAATTGAAATTTGGCAAGTAAATTTCAATGTTCCACAAGGGGGAGTAATCAGATGTGCTTGCAAACTTATCAAAGGAAATTTATGTTATTATCAAAGACATTGAAAAGTCACTGAAACATTTCTTTGGAGAGATTTTTGAATAAGTTAGAAAACTGAAGCCTGATTTTTAAAGTGACCAGATATCAGAGTTTTTATAGGTGACACATATCTCTTTCAGCAGCAAAGCAACCTAGAAATGGAAAAAAAAGAGAAAACCTCTCTTTATAATACTCTATAGATAGCATGAGTTATTTTCAACACCAACTACTTTCTTGTTCTTTGCAAAAACCCACTTAACATTAAAGCAACAGATTAGATGTGAGAGTGTGTGTGTGTGTGTGTGTGTGTGTGTGTGTGTCTTTAAATGCCTTTGAGGCAGCAACTACTCACAATCACTGGTCATCATTGAAAATGTCAGCAAATTAACTCCAAATCATTTTATTTAAAAAAAGTTTATACGTCTAATTTTTTTCAATTAATTTTTTGGTGACTTGTCAGGAGTTGACCAGTGAACCTCAGTGGGGAACAAAAGACGTCGTGCCCACACCCCATCCCAGTATACAATATTGCAAAGATTCTACCATTTAAGATGATAAAATCACATACTTGAGTACATATAAATTGAAATCTGTTGCTACATGCTGAAAGCAAATAAACTAAAAAGTCATTGCTGTGTCCAGACTCCAGGCTTTCCTCAGAACATGATGTAACACTTGAACATCTGGCAGAAAAACCAAGTGAGAATGCCATATATCAATCATTGGCAAACCTCATTGCTTTCAATTTTTAGATAGGCTGTTGTTACTGAAAGGTTGAATGCTGTCTTCAAGCACCCTGTACCACCCTTAAAAGTTATGTTCTGGACCTCAGAGACAAGGGAACTAGAGCAGGCCTGAATAGGAGGTAGGGAACTTAAGAATGCCAACACCAACACACCTCTACTTTTTCCCAGCTTTCATATTTCCAAGAACTGCCTCCATTATCGATTGTACACCTGGCCATAGAGCCCTGGCTGTGAGAGTTAACAGACCTCTTTCCAACGCAAGGATCCCATCAATGCCCAAGGCTAGCCAGTGGTTTCCTGTGTCCATACTGTAACATTGGTTTTCCTTAGCAGAGATTCAACAGCTCCAATGGACTAAACCTGATCATGTGAAATGACAACCAACTTCTCTGAAGTTTTTACAATTGTGCATTTTGAAAATTGCAAATTACACTCAAAAGTTGTTAAAGCCAGAGATTAATCTCTGTGGAGTGCCTAATACAATACCATCATCTTGAAGGGCTTACTTAGTGGTTCCTGCACATCGACAATTTAACACTAATGAGAACCAAAAAGTAGACACTGAGCTGTTACTGGACTGTTTTTTACAATACTGTCAGCAGTGTTTAGTGCATGCACTAAGAAAATGAACTTTATACCCCAGAGCTGCATACACATTCTTAGCAACTTGCACATCTTGAGACCACTCTGCTATTCTAACAGCCTGATCATTCAGCTTCTTATATTGAAGTTATTTGCCGGATGAAATCTTTATTTCCTTGCTTCACTTTTATAAGTGAGATTTTGCCTTTTAAAGAAATTATATCTATATATGCCTCTAAATTGATATTGATTGACAGATTTGAAACTTACCGTGTATAATGGGTATATTTGGGCACTTCCTTGAAAAGCTACATTAGCATTTCTCATTCACCTTTGATTGCATCCTTTTCTTTTTCTCCTTTTTGCTTCCAAGACCTTTATAAGGGAGCTGCTTGGTTAGCTTGTGTATCTGTAGTGAGTCGTGGACCTTAATTTGTCCCATTACCACCTGGGAAATCTTATTAAAAGGTGTATTTGAAGCCTGAGATTCTGCATTTCTAACTCCCAAATGAATGGTTCTGGGATAAAATTGACAATAGTAGGATCCTAGCATGCTAGCAGTAGAACTGGGCATGCCTAGAATCAGATGTTGCTCCTGCCTTATTTCAAATGTCATTATGCTCCACCAAAAGCAGTTTTCTCTGCAGCTTTTAAAATAGTAATTCCTAACTTGCTTCCATTCTACCCATCACAAAAAGTATCCTGGTCCACAGAGGAGTGAAAAGGACTGTGATTTGTACCCTTGGCTTCACATTAGAATCACCTGTGATCTTTCTAAAATTTCTGATGCCCGGGCCACACTCCAAACCAATTAAATCAGAACCTTTGGGAGTAGGATGAAGATAACTGTTTACTTTGAAACTCCCCAGGTAATTCCATTGAGCAGTAAGGTTTGAGAATCACTGCTAAATTCTTTGCTATACAATTTATTATCAATGGACCAGCTGCACAGGCATCACCTGTTTTTAAGAAGCGAAAAATATCAAGCCCCAGTTCTGACGCACTAAAACCAAATTCTTCATTTTATTAAGATCCCAGGTGATTCCTATCTATAGTAAAGCATAGAAAAGCAGTGCATTAGATTTTTAAAATGAATTAAAATTAGTTTTTAAAATTTTTATTTCACTAGGGTAGGAACACTTAACATGAGATTTATTCTTCTAACAAATTTTAAATGTACAATGTATTATCTTTGACTATAGATGTAATGTTGCAGAGCATATCCTTAGAGCTTATTTATCTTACTTAACTGAAACTTTATGCCTGTTGATAATTACTTGCCATTTTCCCTCCCTCCAGAGCCTGGTAACTACCATTCCAGCCTTTGATTTTATAAATTTGACTATTTTAGATACCTCATCTCAGTGTAATCATAGAGTACTTGTATTTCTGTGGCTGTCTTATTTCACTTAGCATAAAATTATCAAGGTCCATCCACGTTATGTAATATTGCCCAATTTCCTTCTTTTAAAGTCTGAGTAGTATTCTACTGTATGCATATACCACATTTTCTGTATTCATTCATCTGTCCATGGGCATTTAGGCTGTTTCCACATCTTAGCTATTGTGAATAGTGCTGCAATGAACGTGGGAGTGATAATATCTCTCTGAGATCCCAATTTCAATTCTTTTCGATATATAACTAGCAGTGGGATTGCTGCATCATATGGTAGTTCTACTTTTATTTTTTTAAATGTGCTCCACTCAGATGCTGTAATGTCTCACCTGGATTCCTTAGTTTATATGAAGGTCTTTTTGTGTCTGAATGGTTGTTCAAACTGGTTTCTGTAAGGAGATGAACACTGGAAACTCCTATTCCTTCATCTTGCTGACATCACTCATAAAGATAGTCTTTTTAACAAATGCTGCTGGAAATGAAACATTGACACAGCAAGAAAAAAATGACTCTAGACATGGACCTTACACCTTTAACAAAAATTAACTCAAAGTTGATCTTACGCCTAAACGTATAGTACAAAACTATAAAAACTACTAGAGGATAATATATAAGAAAATCTAGATAACCGTGAGTACCGCGATGATTATCAGGTATAAAAATAAAGGCATGGGCCGGGCACAGTGGCTCACGCCTGTAATCCCAGCACTTTGGGAGGCTGAGGCAGGTGGATCATCTGAGGTCAGGAGTTCGAGACCAGCCTGGGCAACAATGGTGAAACCCCCGTCTCTACTAAAAATGCAAAATTTAGCTGGGCGCGGTGGCGCATGCCTGTAATCCCAGATACTCAGGAGGCTGAGGCAGGAGGGTCACTTGAACCTGGGAGGCGGAGGTTGCAGTGAGCCGAGATTGCGCCATTGCACTCCAGCCTGGGTGACAGAGTGAGACTCCATCTCAAAAAAAAAAAAAAACAAAAAAAAAGAGGCATGATCCATGAAAGAAATATTTGATAACCTGGACTTTATTAAAATTAAACACTTCTTATTTGCAAAAGACAATGTCAAGAGAATGAGAAGAAAAGCCAAAGATTGTAGGAAAATATTTGCAAAAGACACATATGATAAAGAACTCATCCAAAACATATAAGAAACTCTTAAATCTCAACAATAAGAAAACAAACTACCTCATTAAAAATAGACAAAAGACCGCTGAACAGATACCTCACCAAAGAATATATACGGCTGGCAAATACACATATTAAAAGTTGTTCGTTATCAAATGACATTAGGGAATTTGCAAATTAAAACAATTTGATACCACTACAAATCTATTAGAATGGCCAAAATTCAAAGCTGCGACTCTACCAAATGCTGGTGAGTTTGTGGATAAACAGAACCTCTCATTCATTGCTTGTGGGAATGCAAAATGGTACAACCTCTTTCGTAGACAGTTTGGCAGTTTTTTACATAACTAAACATACTCCTAAAATACAATCCAGATTGTTCTCCTTGGTATTTGGCCAAATGAGCTAAAAATATATCTTGACAAAAAGCTTCATACAGGTGCTTTTAACAGCTTTATTCATAATTGCTGAAACATGAGAGCAACCAAGATGTCCTTCAGTAGGTGAATGAATAAACGGGGGTATATCCAGACAATGGGATATTGTTCAGTGTTAAAAATATGAGCTTTAAAGCCATGCAAAGACATAGAGCAACCTTAGCGCATGTTATAAGTAAAAGGAGCCAATTTAAAAAGGCTGCATACTGTATTACAACTATATGATATTCTGTAAAAGAGAAAATTAGAGACAATAAAGAGATCAGGAATTACCAGGAGTTACAGCATAGAAGGGATAAATAGCAGGGAGGCAGAGGATTTTTAGGGCAGTGAAGCTATTCTGTATGATACTATAATTGTAGATACAAGTCAATACACATTTTTCAAAAGCCATAGAATGTGCAACACCAGGAGTGAACCCTGATGTAAACTATGGACTTTGGGTGATAATAATGTGTCATCGTAGGCTAATGGAATGTAGCAAATATGCCACTCTAGGTTTCGGATGTTGAAGTGGGGAAGCTGTGCATGCGTATGAGCAGGGGTTTATGGGAATTCTGTGTACCTTCCACCAATTTTGCTGTGAAACTGAAAGTACCCCCAAAATAAAAGTTTATTAATAAAATGATCCTTCTGGCTTAGGGAATAGACCAAAAGAGGTAACGTATGAAAAAAAGGTTAATGATATAGTTTGGGTATTTGCCTCTGCCCAAATCTCATGTTGATTTATAATCCTCATTGTTGAAGGTGGGGCCTGGCAGAAGGTGTTTGGATTATGGGAGTGGTTCCTTAAGACTTGGTGCTGTCTTTGTGATAGTGAGTAAGTTCTTGTAAGATCTGGTTGTTTAAAAGTGTGTGGCACGTCCCGCACCCACTCCCCACTCTCTCTCTCTTACTTGCTCTTTCTTTCTCCATGTGATGTGCCTGCTACCCCTCTTTGCCTTCCACCATTATTTTAAGCTTCCTGAGGCCTCCCCAGAGGCAGATATTGATGTCATCCTTCCTGCACAGCCTGCAGGACCATGAGCCAATTGAGCCAATGAAGTCTCTTTTTTTAATAAGTTACCCAATCTCAGATATTTCTTTAGACCAATGTGAGAATGGCCTAATACAGGAAATTATTTAGGAAGTTACTGCTGTAATCCAGGAGATAAATGATGGTGCTTTGGATGAAGATTATAGTAGTAGGGATGGTGAGATGAGGTTATATTTTAAATATATTTTAGCAAGAGTTGATGTTGGACTGGATGTGGAATGTAAGAAGAGTGGAGAATGTTTCTGTGTTTTTCGAATCAGACAACTGAAGGAAAGAAGCAGACATATACTGAGATGCAGAAGAATAAAGGAGTAATTCATATGTTTCAAAAATATACATCATTAATGCAGCAAAACATTAGTCTCCTAAATCATTGGAAAACAATTTATTCTTGTCCATGACAGCAAGGAAAGGCTGCAAAGTAAAGAATGCACAATCTTCATTTACTTCTCAATTTTTTCTAAGGCCAATCCTGTTTACACACAACAAATGTTAAAAGTTCTATGCTTATTTTCAGTCTGGATTTACATTTAATCCCTACTTAATTCTAATGCTACTGTGAACACCTGCCCCATTCCTACCAATTTCCAATCCCTATAAGCCTTCAAGTGGCCCTATAAGCCTTAACTCTTCTACACAACTTCAAATCTCAAAAACTAAAAACAGAGAGATAGAGATAGAGAAGGAGGAGGAGGAGAAAGGGAAATTAGTAGGTAGATGGGTAGATAATCCTCACTCTGCTCCCCTCTAGATTTTATTGCCTGTTCCATTGCATGTCTCCTTCCAAGCTTTATGTCAATGTTCAATACATCCTAAATGCATTGTGGATCTATGTAGATGTAGGATTTGGGACGAGAGAGGGTAAGGATAAGAGAAAAGTTGTTTGTGAAGTGACATTGTGAACATAAATGTGGGTAAAAAACAAGTGTATTCATTTCTTTAATAAAAACCAAACATTATATGATTCCACTTATATAAGGAACCTAGAGTTGTCGAATTCATAGATACAGAAAGTAGAATGGTGGTTGCCAGAGGCTGAGGGGAAAGGAAATTATAGAGTTGTTTAAAAGAGACAGAGATTCAGTTTTGCAAGATGAAAGAGTTTTGGAGATTGGTTGCACAACAATGTGAATGATCTAACATTACTAAACTGTATAGTTAAAGAAGGTTAAGATGGTAAATTTTGTTTTGTGTGTAGTTTACTACAATAAAAATTTATCTGAAATATTTAAAAAACTACAAATGATTGAAATTAACTATGGGTTAGAAATATTATGCTAAATCACAGGGCTTAGCAAAATCCTATATAGATACTCAACGAATTGCAGAAAAGGGCTTTCCTCACTCGAGTTGCTTTGGTGAGTTCACTGATGTACAATATGAGGTTGGAAATGGGAAAGTGACCCGCTAGCATGCAAGGCATCCTAGTGAGGTGCAATGATCCCTGAACTAAAAGTCAATAGTCTTTGGTCCTTGCTGGCTGTTTGACTTTGGGAAATTATTTCTCTTCTTTGAGCCTTTGCTTTTTCATGCATGAAGAAGTTGGAATAAACAATGTTTGACGTCTCTTTTAGCTTCAAAATAGTGAAATTACCAGATAACTAAATGTATTTTTATTCCATGTCTTGCATTCAGATTTTATACATTTATTATGAAGTATACATTTCTCTATTGAAGTTTGGCCCACCCCAATAAGAGGGAAATCTGGCTAGTAAGTGGAATGGATAGACTTGCTTTTCATGCATTCTTGTAACTGGCAACAATATGTACTCCTGAAACAGATGGGAAAGATCTCTCCCTCTCTCTCTCTCTCTCTCTCTCTTACACACACACACACACACAGGCACACACGTACATCTCTACCTTTGTTATCCACTTCATTTCTGATTATTACCAGTAACCAGAAGGCAGTCTCAGCATATATAACTGTCACAAACTCAGATACCTTCTAATCATGTGCAATTATGCTGCCTAGAAGTCAAGACAGTGAAACAAGTAAACAAGAAGGCACTAAATGCCTCTGTGAGGCTAACCTGTGCCAGAAGATATGAAAGACAAATATGTCAACAGTACTTCCTCTTCAGGAGCTTGTATAGAGACTAGGAGTTATATAAACCTGAGCCAAAGGCTGTTTTTTTTAATTGGCTCCCACTATAACTCTCTTTTAGCATTTGATGAACACTGCATACTGTGGTAACCCTTGTGCACCGTGAGAAACAAAGTTCTTTGCTATATGGTCCGTATGCAGAGACATTCAGTCATAAGCACCTTGCTGCCATACTGTGTCAGATTATTGGCTTGAGGTATGGTAGAATCAATTTTTTATCATCTGAAGCTCATAACTGAGCAGCCTGGCTTTCACTAGAAGAAACAGTGACCCACGGCTCAAGAGTTCTAAATCAAAGGTCTGTCACTCTTGGAGCATATTTATACATAATAAAATCAGTATGTAATACTAAATGTCTTCATTGATACACACGGAATAATGCTGCTTCTTGACCTGGCAGGAATGTGTGTAGAAATGGTTGTTAAAATTTATTGACTAACTTATTGGAGGTGGAGAGAGATGAATACTTTGATATTGAGAATAAACTGAAAAGTATGACTTTTCCAAATTCCTAGTGAAGGATTTTGAAAACAATCAATTGAGCAAATTAGTGGGCCATTTCTATGGCATCTAATATCTATCCAATTTTAAATAAACTAAAATCCTTCTATCAGTATAATAGTAAATGGCAATTGTGGTTAGAAAATTGTGAGCTTGTCAATTTCATTCACCTTTCCAAACACTAATTTTAGTGTTTATCAAGTAGTTATTACGTGCCCTAAATTTTAGTCAGTGAGATTTGCTCTACTTTTTTAAAATTCAAAAGAATTAATAAAAACTTATTGGAGAATTATTTTTTAAGCAATAGAGGACTTTATTGGATCACCTAATTTTTTTTTTTTTTTGAGACAGAATCTGACTCTGTTGCCCAGGCTGGAGTGCAATGGCGCCATCGCAGCTCACTGCAACTTCCATCTCCTGGGTTCAAGCGATTTTTGTGCCTCAGCCTCCCAAGTAGTTTGGATTACAGGTGTGGGCCACCACACCCGGCTAATTTTTGTATTTTTATTAGAGACAGCGTTCACCATGTTGGCTAGGCTGGTCTCAAACTGTTGACCTCAGGTAATCTGCCTGCCTCAGACTCCAAAAGTGCTGGGATTACAGGCGTGAGCCACTGTGCCCGGCCAAGGATTATTTTAATAACATTTTGGAAAAATTAGTGGTTATTTTGGACATGTTATACAGCTTGTAATTTTGTTTTTTGGGTCATACTTGCATCTGAATAGGCACATCAAATAACTGATTGTAAAAATAAAGCTTGGTAATGAAATTTTGTGAGAAAAATGTTAGCAACAAAACTAAAGAAAAGTGTTTTGTATTGGTACTTAACCCAGATAGCCAACTAAATTTTGTATCTGTGACTTTCAGGAAAACGAAAACTAACATATGTCAAATGATTCCTTTACTGCAGCCTCATTAAAGTTTTTGGGGCCAAAATGTGCAACAATCAAGACTGTGAGAGACATTTTTGTCATATTTTCATGATTTTCTTTATTGTGCTTACTACATTCAAATGTTCATGCATCATTAGTTAAATTTGCATGCTTGTACTGAATATTATTTTCTGTAATATACACATTCTCTAAAGGCACTATTCAATCCCAAATATTTTAACAACATGATTAGCTTTTTATTTTTTTAATATGAAGTTCTTTTTAAAGATAACTTTTCTTTAATGTGTCTTAAATTATAAGCCACACAGCTAGTAAACAATCCAGACCTCAAGAAACCATGGTGTGGAAAAATGAATTTACAGCAAGTCATCCAAAGCCTGGAGCACTGAATCAATGTACAGGGAGATGATAGCACTTGACTTCTTCCCAATTTCCATGTTCAGTGCTTGTTTATTCTCTGCTAAAGTGTGCTGAGCCGTGTTGGCAAATGCTGTCATGGGGTGCTTCCAATTTTGCTTGTGTGGTATAAAGTTTCCTTCAAAATAAAAGCAAGACCCTCTCTACTGCAATTCTGGAATGTTTATCGTCAGTGGAAGTGTGAGCTCTGCCTTACTCTTCGTATGTTTACCTAACCTCTGCTACTTTCTGGGCTGGTACTGGGCAAGGCTCCGGATTTGGTTTGTAGAATCTAAAAGTTGTTAAGACAAAGAGATCATTTGGCTCAATAATTCCTATCCAGTATAAATTTGTTATACAATAGGAGAAGAGAGAAGAAATATGAGGACAGGGACCCTTTATTGTTGCTGCTGCCGCATGAGTTGGGACCTATGAGAGGTGTTATGTTGGGTGCTATGTGCCTGAGACAGACGCAGTTTCAAATCCCAGCTCTACAATTGACTATCTCTATGATTGTTGTCAGTTTCGTAGCCTCCTTAGGTTTCAGTTTACTCACAGACTAAATGTCCTATTTGCTGCCTCTCAGGATTGTGAAGGATTCGCTGAGATCATGAGTGTGCAGCACTTAGCACTGTACACGGTACATAGTTACAGCCAATATTCAACATTCTTAAAGAAAAGAATTTTCAACCCAGAATTTCATATCCAGCCAAACTCAGCTTCATAAGCGAAGGAGAAATAAAATCCTTTACAGACAAGCCTAAAGGCTGCCAAATACATAGGATCTATAACGACCTGACAGAATATCTGACCCAGGTTAACTTTTATTGGTTAATTTATACTGTGGATATGAAGGTCCAACCAGCTGTGAATCTGCCTAATTGGTTTTAGCCCATGTTTTTGCATTTTCTCCATAATGATTCTGTTAGGTACATTTTGTGCATCTTATTGAAATCAAGAAATACTGTCAAAGGCATTCACTTACGATACTAATATACTGATACTCTATATAAAGGACATAAAGTTTTTTTCAATCTGACTTGTTTTCAGTGCATCCACAATGTCTCCTTGTGGTCACAATCTTCATTCCATACAAGATTTGAGCACTTTCAGAATCTTTTATTTTAAATTGTTTCTGGGGATTTTCCCACTCCTACAAAATTATAATAATTAGTTTTTTCATTAAATTCTAGATAACATTTTTATTATGAGTACATTTGAATTTTAATTTTCTGCCAGTAATATTCATCAAGTTGAGTAAGAAATGTACAATTACCATAAAATATTTAAAATAATTCCCTATCATTTCTAATCTTATATAATGCAATTAAAATAGTCTGTTATTTTATTTAGGCTTAGAATATAGGACTGTTTTTGGCCCTAGTAATTGTCAATGACAATAGCATCATGGACTCAACCACAAGTTCCTTTGGGCTAATAATGGTAGTAAGGAAGCCATTATGAGACTGCAATGGTAGGAAGATGACTAAGCAGGAAATGCATGATTTACTTGCTGAAATTAGTATCTAAAGAATTATAACATAACCCAGTGGTGTTTAGCTTGATACAGTTCATGGATGTAGCAGGTCATATGGGAAGAGGTCACATTTGTGATCAAGTAGGTGCAGACATTGTGGTTCAGGAAAGCATTATTGTATGAACTAGGAAAAACAGCTAAGAACACAAAGATGGAGCTCCAGATTCATTGGATGAAAAGTGAAAGGAATTTGGGAATTTGGCAGGGTCAGGGGTTCTTATGCTACACAAATTAGAATGTTCTCAGTGTACTTTGGCAGAAGACCTTTTAGGAGAATGGGCATAAACATAAATGATTTGGTAAAAGGTCACAGTGTATTGGTCATTAAATGCCAAAAAATACAAATATCTAGTATTTAGACTACTAAAGTGACTGGTGTCCTCCTTCCATATCCCCATCCTGGGATAACTCCTCCCCAGGTCCCTGAAATCCTTCCTTTGGATACTCAGCCTACAGAGACATATTGGCCCATGCCAGCTGTACACACATGTGCTAATAGACCTAGTACACCATACGTCTATCCATAAATATGTATAACTCTTCCTAGACATCTACAGATAAGCCAGCCACATATAGGCCATTAAACAAACTGTATGCACATAAATATTACACCCACAGTCATGTCAAGCAGTCACGTTCATGCAAACACATACAAATTTACAATCAATCACCACACATATCTGCAACATATGATAACTTTGTCTTATGGCAGAAAAATTATTGGTATGGTGCGTATGAGACTCCTATGTTCGATGAGACTTGCTTAACTTTGCCTTAGGCCTCAGCAACATGTCTCCCAAACAGAAACGATTTACTCTGCCTATAGCTGGGCAAGCCCTTTGGAAACATAATGATTTAAGGTAAATGCTGCCATTCTTCACATGTAAATAATACCCATTGCATTGAAAGAGCTTTGATTTATATTTATTATACATTCTGTCTTCCAGAAACACACTAGTTAAATAACAATACATTCAAGCAACATGAAAAAAGAAAAGATTTTTAAAATCCCATGAATATATTTCTTTTGTACTATTTTAAGAAAATTCATTCATTCCATTAGAAATAGTAATACCAACAATAAAAATACGGTGGTTGGAGAAGGAGTTCCATTTTCAGTTCTGGTAGAGCAGCTTATATCACAACCACCCTCCCACTGCAAACAGCTATAAAAGCTACATAAAATGCAAAGAACATCGAAAGGCAATAAAAGAAGTCAGGACTTGTGAGGCCCAGGTCCTAAGAGTAATAATATACATTGAGATGGGTGTGGCCTTTTTTCTTTTTCCCTGCTTAGAGTCAGATTTTTATGGATAAATAAACAAACTTTGCTGGGGTTTTGATTAGGATTAAAGAATACCACTAATGAACTTGACCTAATTGACGTATGTAGAACAATGCACTGTATAATTACAATATATAGTCTTCTCAGGTGTACTTGGAAAGTTACCAATATTAACCATATTATGAACAATGAAACAAGTTTCAAAACATTTTAAAGGAGATTATGGTCTTTGCAGAGAGTAGAATTAAATTAACAATCAGTATCAAAAAGATAAATGGAAAAATCATTTAATATTTTATATTAAGCTTTATAGTTATAAATAATCCATAGGTCAAGAAGTAATCATGATGAATATTAGAAAATTATTGGAAATAAATGACAAGATAGTTGGCACATAAAAATATTTGGGATGCAACTAAAACCGGGCATAGAAAAGATTTTATAGACTTAGTTGTTTATATTAGAAAAGAAGGCTAAAAATCAACAATCTGTGTATTTATCTTAATGAGCTAGAAAATCACCAAATTAACCCCAAAAAGTAGAAAATGATACATGCAGAAGTACAATAAATATAAAACATTCAAGCAATGAAATAAACAAAACAAAAATTGTTTCTTTTAAAAAACAACATTGATAAACTCATAAATCAAGGGAAAAAGAGAAGACACAAATGATCAGTATTAGAATCAAAAAGGGTACATTTCTGTAGATTCTATCATTGTTAAAAGATTACCGGAAGATGTTATATAAAGAATGTTATGACAACAATTTGACAATTCAAATAAAATAAATCCTTGAAAAAACCATTTAACTGAACTGAGTAGGAATAAATAAAAATTAGAATTGTTCTTTATGTTATAAAGAAATTGAGGCTGAAATTCAAAACCTACTCTCATACCAAACTCCAAGTGCATTTGGCTTTACCAGTGAATTTGTTCAAATATTTAAGGAACACATGCTTGTCCCTAAAATAAATAAGTTTTACTACAGCTGGTCAGAGTGTAAATTGGTACCATAACTACTTTGTAAACTATTTGGCATTCTATACTAAAGTTAAATCAATGTAATCTTATTATCTAGTAGTTTTACCTCTATGTACTCATAAGAAATGTTCATATATGTTTACCAAAATGCATTTGCAAGAACATTCATAACAGTATTTTTAATAAATGTCCCAACAGAAGAAACTCAAATGCCATTAACAGAAAAATAATTGCATGTGTATATTCATACAAAAGAAATACTATGCTATTATGAAGATAAATTAATCACTGCTTCTCACCACAACATGCATGGATGAATGAAGCCAGCCACAAAATAGCACATGCAGAATGGCTCAATTTAAATAAATTTTACTTTATATAAAAGTCATACAAAACTAATTCATGGTGAGAGAAGCCGTAACAGTGTTCACAGAGGATAATAACTGTGGAGAGGCCCATATAAATCAGTTTCCTGGTAACATTTTTTTCTTGTATTAACTCTGCAAATTGAATGCTGTATTAATAGTTTCCGTCAGTTAAAATAGTGAGGTTCTCTCATTTCTATAAAATACTATTATAATAAAATTATTATTTCAAAAAGGTTACACCGCCACAACATTATTTTAAAATTTGTTTTGCAGACAAAATTATTTTACTTCTCTTTGTTATAGGAAGGTGAGGTCTAGGGACCCAAGATAATTACAACTGTTTTCCCAAGCCTTTCCATGAAAGTCAACGAACTGTGGACCTTGAGAAAGACACAAGCCTAATTGTGCCATGGACATAATCTGATATAGGTTCTGCCTAACGTACTGTCCAGCTCCACCACTAGCATATTGCAAACTCAACTAGACATTAAATATAATGACGTCTTCTTTTTTTCATCTTTTCTCCTAACCACAATGTAATATGAATTTATATAAAATTCAAATACTATTAAGATATACAACATAGACGGTGAAACTCCCTGGAGAACTCTTCTCCCAGATAATCATGAATGGTTTCATGAAAAAGCCCCCAAACTTTTTTATATGTATATTAATACACAGAAGTATTATAAAAATGGAGGGTACATCATAATATTCTGGAATTATTTTTGGGCAGCATATCTTGGTTATCTTTCCATGTGTACATACAGATCCAATGTATGTGCTTTAATGTCTTTGCATTATTTCATTGTATAAATTTGAATATTATTATATCTGCTCTATTGATAAATATTTTGGCTGCCTTCAATTTTATACTATTAAGAACAATTTCATACTGAAACATTAATTTAAATGTCATTCTGTGAGCATGAAAAAACATATCATCAGTGTAGGTTACTTAAGGTAGAAATACTGAATAAACTAGAATGAATTTTTAAAAGTATTATGACTTTAATAATGCTTACTTGTATTTTATGACTGCCACCAATGATCTGTAACATTCTTTCTGACATTGGCTTTGTGAAACTCTCTACAAGGTTATTTTAACATCTTTCTAATCCTTCTCAATTATATCCTTAATTATAACCTATATATGAGTCAAATTAAAACTTCAGAGTTGCCGATGAAAATATGTTGGTCAAAAGTGTTTTGGTCAGGGAAAAGAATTATTACCAAAATCAGGGCTACTTATTTTTTCCAATGTGGATAATATATATCCTGTAAAAGGGTGCCCTTTTTGCTGGATATGGCTTAAAAATAAGAATCTCTCTGTTCTAGATAATTGACTGGAATGTTGAAAGCTGAATATGCATTCTTGATTTGTTTATTACATAATTATCTTAGCACATTTTTGCATGACAGCACCATTTCTAGCAATGACTTAAGCTACAATATCAGGAATTTCAATTAGTAGAAGGTAGAAATAATATCTGAAAAAATAATTTAAATATTTTAATGGATAAATTTTATATTCAATGACAATTTTCAGAAACCTTAAACATTAACTTTGTTTAAAAATTAATTGGGAATAAAAAACCCTTTGATTACAATTCTAAAATATTGTTATTATTTTCTATTTTACCCAATATTATTAATTTAATTGGAGATCATTAATATTCCTCACAGGTTTATTGGAGCTTAGATTATCCAGGTTTTTTTTTGCATACTTTGGCAGACAGATATCATATAATATTCACATTATTTGTATCCATGGTGTTCCAATCCACTTTGCAATGATGTTCTACTTTAAAAATATATTGGCTCTGGGGTCATTTGAACATAGACTTTCTTTTTTGTTTGTGTTTGCGCTTGGTACATTTGTTATTCATGATGTTCAGCTTTTCAGTTAATGGCAACTTTATTTTGCTAACTCTGTCCTAGAATTAGTCCAGCCCTTACAGCTCAGAGGTACTTTTTGCTCTGATATCTGTTCCTCTTCACACACCAGTACTGGTTGGGAGAGAGATCTTCCTTATCCAGACAAGTGAAAACAGAGGTGAAAAAGAAGAAGAATGAGAGTGGTGCTGTAAAGAAGGTCTTTTCTCTAATCACCACCACTTTCATTTTACTAAACCCCAATTCCTGTATGCCTGGCACAGACTTTCTTACCCAGCTCATCCCTTTAAATTGTGCATAAACCATAACTCAGTGTTTTCTACATCTAAAAACCCATTTATTAAATATGTATTCCCTCCTTAAACTCTCTTTTTGAAAAAACTTTAGTGGAAAATACAGAAGGAATACAGAAGGATATGTCTCCCTTATCAAAGACAAGAGGAAACTGACTCTACATTTTCTGCACATTTATTATGGAGCTAATAATGAACAACCTCAATACTCTAACATGCAGCTTCAGCATTGGCAGAAAGGTAGCTTAAAGCTCTAAGGTTTTTAGGAGGCCAGGAAAACAGATGTAACCTTGGTGATTTAGAAATCCTTTGTCCTTTGCATGTAGGAAATATTTTTCTACATCATTATTTATCCCTTGTCTTTATGTTTTAATTTTTAGAAGATTTAAATTAGTATGCAGCAAAATTTAACCTTCTTATCATGAATACATCACCATCACATACATACAAAAACTTTAGCAAATACAAATAAAAACTCAATAATATATCACAAACTGATCCTCAGTGTATATTGACAGCATCAAAAAGCTCCCTTGTACACCATCCCAATCACTATGTTTTTTTTTGCAGGAACATGGATGAAGCTGGAGGCTATTTTCCTTAGCAAACTACCACAGAAACATAAAACCAAACACCACATGCTTTCATTTATAAGTGGGAGCTAAATGATGGGAACTTATGAACACGAAGGGAACAGCAGACACTGGGGTCTACTTGAGGGTGGATGGTGGGAGAATGGTGAGGAGCAGAATAGATAACTATTGGATACTGGGCTTAATAACTCAGTGATGAAATAATGTGTACAACAAACCCCTGTGACACAAGTTTACCTATGTAACAAACCTTCAAATGTAACCCCAAACCTAAAATAAAAGTTAAAAATTTTTTTAATTAAAAAATATCATCTCAGTGATCTATTCATTGCGGAAAGTGGGGTGTTGAAGACTCCAGCTATTCTTTTATTGTAATCTATCTATATCTTTAGTTCTAATAATATTTGCTTTATATATCTGGATGCTCCAGTTTTGGATATATTTATATTTACAATCATTATATCGTCTTGCAGCAGTGACCCCTTTATCATTATATAAAACAATCATTATCATCATTCTTTGTCTCTTTTTATAGTTTTTGTCTTGCAATCTAGTTTTTCTTTATAAGTATATATCTATATATCTGCCCCTTTTTGGTTCCCATTTTCATGAAATATCTTTTCCATCCTTTTGTTTTTAGTGTATATGTGTCTTTATAAATGATGCATGTGTCTTGTAGGCAACATATAGTTGGGTCTTGTTTCTTTATCCATTGAATCACTCTGTCTTCTGACGGGAGAGCTTAGTCCATTTACATTCAATATTATTATTGACAATAAGGACTTACTCCTGCCACTTTGTTCTTTTCTGGCTGTTATGTTGTCTTCTTTTTATTTTCCCTATCTTCCTTCATGTGAAGGTTATTATTTCTGCTTTTGTGTTTTAATATCTTGCTATATATTATTTGTGTATTTGCTGTAGGTTATTTGATGTGAGGGTAATATGAGGCTTGCAATAACTTCTTACAACCCATTATTTTAAACTGATGACAACACTGATTACAAAAACAAACTCAAGCAAAGAAAAAAAAGAATAAAGACTCTACACTTTAACTTCATCCTTCCACTTTTTACCTTTTTGTTTTCTCTATATCTTACTATACTGCCTATGTCTTGAAAATTTCTTTAAGTTGATAGTTTTATGAGAAATGGAGTGGAAGCCAATTCTGCTTTCATAATGTGTGTATATAACAATGGTAGTTGTAAAATTTCATTTAGAAGTTCTAAGTGAAAAGAACTTATACAGAACTTCACAAACTACAGTTGAAAGGAAGCTTCATTTAGAAGATCTAGTTAAAAGAATAATTGCTTCATATTTCATTTTGCCTGGAAGATGTTCACATAATATTCTTTTCATCAATTGACAAATTCACTAGCGGTAGCAAATTGCCCAATTAGCCAAAGGTATTTGCACCAAACAGTAGATATTCCAAATAAGCTTCACTAAGAACGTATTTTTTTCCTATCTGATTCTTGGAACATTATGCATAAATTTCTGAAATGTAACAGTTTCATAATAATGGGTATTTTATCAAACAGAGGCCAATGATCATTTTCCATTATTCCTATGCCTGTTTTGATAGAATATCATGGAGAAAAAAACATCTTGCTTAATGAAGTAGGCACTGTTTTCTTGAAATTTTTCTATGTAATTTAAAATTTCTTTCTTTTTTTTTTTTTTTTTTTTTTTTTACAGTGTCTTGCTCTGTCACCCAGGCTGGAGTGCAGTGATGTGATCTCGGTTCACTGCAACCTCCACCTCCCAGGTTCAAGCAATTCTCCTGTGTTAGCCTCCTGAGTAGCTGGGACTACAGGTGCACGCCATGAAGCCTGGCTAATTTTTTTTGTATTTTTAGTAGAGACAGGGTTTCACCATATTGGTCAGGCTGGTCTCGAACTCCTGACCTCAGGTGATCTGTCCGCCTTGGCCTCCTAAAGTGCTGGGATTACAGGCGTAAGCCACCACCCCTGGCTGTAATTTAAAGTTTTATACATTTTAATTACACTTTCTTTTGAAGCCTTACTTGTGTTAGGATTTTTCCATCATTAACCCTATATTTTAGGAGTCCTAGACTCAGTTTGAGAAATATCTTACATTGGAAATTGTCGGCTCAATGTATTTTAGCATATTTCACGCAGCTAAACATGTATGTTTTCACTGCATGTTAAAAATAACAAAGCATGTAAATGCAAACTACAATTATTTACATATTCTAAAATTTGTGGATAGAATATACAATTACTTGGTTACATGTTTTTCTCACTTATTCTCATTACTGTACTCTATGTTTACTCTTAACATAACACAATGCAGAGTATATTTTTAGTCAGCTCATACTCCAAAAATGTGTGTAACAAACTACCCCCAAACTAGTGGTTTAAAACTACAAGCATATTATTCTTGCAGTCTTGTTTGTACATCATGTGTGATTTCATTGATCTAGGGTGGGTTAAATTAAATGGCTCTACATTTAAGATCATCTAGGAGTGGGGAGAATGCCATGCAGTAAGGGGCTCCAGGGGTCCATCTCTCCACAGAAACACACACATGCACACACACACACACACACACACACACACACACCCAACCAACCAATCAAACAAAATTCCTCCAAAACTATTAGAATCAACTTTGTCAGAATTGTGGAAAATAGTCAAAGATTCACAGCAAACATAGTAAATGGTGGCTCAAGAAATGGCGACTTGACAAAGTAGGAAAACTTTATGTTATTTTAAATTAGTCTTGCCTCACCACACTCACCAGTGTGGTGGAATCTTAAAGACCACAGCCTTAATTATCAGTGTAGATGCCTGGTTCTGGAGAGAGCAGAGTAGCATTTATTTCCAAAAAATTTTATTTGTATATTATGATTTGACTGGGGGTTTTCCGAAGGACAGATACAAAGTACTTACCTCTATATTGCCTAATTCACAATTTTCTAAGGGTACAAAAATGGCCAAACAGAGGGTGTTGTTCCTTGAAAAAAACACTAAAAATCAAATGAACAAGTTGAGGAAGGGTGGAGCAAGATGGCAGAATAGAAGGCTCCATTGATTCTCCCCTCTGCAAGGACACCAACTTAACTACTATCTATGCACAAAAAGCACCTTTATAAGAACCAAAAATCAGGTGAGCACTCACAATACCCGGTTTTACATTCATGTCACTGAAAAAAGGCACTGAAAAAGGACACCACTCCTCCCCCATCTCTCAGCAGCAGCCGTGCAGCACAGAGAGAGAATCTGTACACTTGGGTGAGGGAGAGTGCAGCAATTGTGAGACATTACATTGAATTCAGTGCTACTCTATTATAGCAGTTGCCTTTAATGTGTTTGATTGTTAAAAATTCTTTCAAAGTTATTATTGTTATATAGTTATAATGTAGTTAAATGTATCAATAATTCTTAATAGATTATAATTGCCATTTTTCAATTAAGAAATTCTAAACCTGTACTTTTTCCTACTAGTTCTAAATTTTTCACATTTATTAATAGTTCATTTAAATTTCTGAAATTTCTTTTTGTGTGTGAAGTGACTTAGATATCCAATTTTATTAATTTTGACTTTCAGAAAGACAATTTTCCTAGCATCATTTATTGAGCAATTAATTCCTTACTTCTTTATTTGTAGTCTCACCTCCAATACAGACCAAGTTCCAAGATGTACTTGGGGCACTTTCTGAATATCTTATAATATTTCATTGAATTATTTGTCTATCCCTCTTCCAATAACACTTATTTTGATTACTAGAGTATCTTAATTATTAGCTATTGGGTAAGGCAACTTCTCCTTCCTTCTTTGTTCTCCTTGAGAATTGTCTTGGCTCCTTTAAAGTCCAGTACTTTCTATCTTAATTGTTAAATCAATGTTATAGTTCCACAAAAATAACTTGTTAGTATTTTTATTCAAATTAATTTTAAATTATAGACAAATTTGAAGAAAAAGTAACACTTGAAAACGTTATTTTCCTTTCTTATTTGTTTTCTAGCCTGGCTAAATACTTCTATTTGATGTAGCTTTGCCCCTTCCCATAAATTTTAGTGAAAGATAGAGTTGAGAGACTCATACTGCTGTCTTAAAACTAGACTTCTAAAAATACAGAACACACTATCCTTCAATAACATTTTTTGCCACAAGATAATACATACTATAAAATACTGTGCCACTGTTCGTGGGTATGTTTGAATCATAGTGACTGTGTCCCATGCAGCCTACTCCAAATACAATTGACCTTAATGAAGTCTGATGTTACACAGACAGCTTGAAAGTTCACATGGACTTGTTGCTTGTGTCTTTCTACATCATATTCTTGAATCCTGCTATTTAAAGAGAATGATTCAGTACCTGAGATTTTACAACTCCTTCTTTTGGGACAAGCCTCTGTAGCTCCAAGACCCCCTTTTTGTGTAACAAATGCACTTCCAGGGTGATTAATCATTGATACTTTTCCAAATCATTTTATACAACAATCCCAGGATATCAGGCAAATAAAGAGAGACTGTTTTAGTGGATTTGGGCTGCTATTAAAAACTGCCATAGTCTGGGTAGCTTATAAACAACATAAATGTATTTTGCATGGTTCTGGAGGTTGGAAACTCCAAGATCAAGGGGCCAGCAGATTCTGTGTTTGGTGAGGGTCCACTTTCTGGTTCATAAATGGCTCCTTCTGCTAATTCCTCACCTGGCAGAAGGAGCAAAGTAGTGTTCTGAGGCCTATTTTTTTCTTTTGCAAGGGCCATAACCTAATTCATGAGCCTAATCATCTCCCAAAGGCCCCACCTTCTAATAACATCACATTGGTGATTAGATTTCAACATGTGAATTTGGGCAGATGGGAGGTGAACAAATATTTAGATCGTAGTGCTGACTTAGGTGAACATGGAGAAAATATAGGTATTTTGTCCATTTAAGAGATGACTGAATTTTATCCCCTTAACGTTGAGCTTGCAGTGAAGCTTGCTGGACTTCACTTCAGCAGAATCAATAATTGGGAGAAAGGAATCTGAAGTCTGGGCAGCATTTCCTCAGCTTGATAATGGCAACATTCCATCAGCAGGCAATGTAGCCTGTCTCCTGAAACTGTGCATCTATAACGTGGCATTCTGTGACATTCTGCCATTTCACACCTTTCATTCCTGCTGTTGGTTTATATTTCATAAATATTCATATTGCAAAAATATGTTCATAGACACTGTAATAATTATTGTAAAATATGCATCAATTTTAAAATTTTATTTTTTTTAGTGAGCAAGCACCAGTTTTATTTTATTGCATATAATTATAGGGTACTACATAATGTTGATAAAATCAATCTAATTCACCTATCTATCATCTCACATTCTTATCTTTCTTTTCAGTGAGAAAATTTATTTAAAATCTACTCTCATCAATTTTTAAGTATATAGTACAATTATTATAGTCACAATGCTGTACAATATACTTACAGAACTTAGTTGTCCTATATGACTGAAACTTTGTATTCCTTGAACAACATCTCCCAGTATCCCTACACCCCCAGGCCCTGGTAGCCACTATTCTACTCTCAATATCTATGAGTTTGAGTTTTAAAAATAGCATATATAAATGAGATCTCATAGTAGTTTTCTTTATATAGCTGGCCTATTTCACTTATCATATCCTGAAGATTTATTAATGTCACTACAAAGGACAGGATTTCCTTCTTTTTGAAGACTGAGTAGTATTCATTGCGTATATATACCACATTTTCTTTAACTATTCATTTGTTAATGTATTCTTAGATTGATTATGTAGTTTAGCTATTTTGAATAAAGCTGCAATGAACATGAGAGGAAGATATCTCTTAGAGATAGTGATTTGATTCACTTTGGATATATACCCAGAAATGGAATTGCTGTACCACCTAGTAGTTGTATTTTTAATTTTTTGAAGAACTTCTGTACTGTTTTCCATAATAGATGAACTAATTAACATCCCTACCAACAGTGTACAAGGGTTTTCCTTTCTCCACATCCTCACCAACACTTCTTATTTTCATCTTTTTGATGAAAGCCATCCTAAAAGGTAAAGGTGTGAGGTGATATCTCATTGTGTTTGATTTTGGTTTGCATCTTCCTGATGATTGGTGATGTTGAGCACCTTTTCATATATCTGTTGGCCATTTGTATGGTTGTATGGTTTCTTTTGATAAATGTCTGTTCAGGTCCTTTGTGCATTTTTAATCAGGTTATTTGTTGTCTTGCTATTGAGTCATTTGAATTATTTATACATATTCGATATTAACCTTGTACAGAAATATGGTATGCAAATATTCTCTCCCATTCCATAGTTTGTCTTTTGATACTTTTGATTTTTTGTTGTGCAGAAACTTTTTAGTTTGATGCAATCTCGTTTGTTTATTTTTGCTTATGCTTCCTGTGTTTCTTGGGTCATATCCAAAAACCTTTGCCAGGGCCAATGTCAAGAAGCTTCTCCCCTGTGTTTTCTTCTAGTAATTTTACAGTTTGCGGTCTTATATATAAGCCTTCAACATATTTTAATGTGTTTTTTTATGTGGATGAGATAAGGGCCCAATTTCATTTTTCTTTATGTGGATATCCAGTTTTCTCAACAACATTTGTTGAACAGACTCTCCTTTCCCTATTGGTCTTCTTAGCACCCTTGTCAAAGATCAGTTGACTGTAGATGAGTGGATTTATTTCTGTGATCTCTAGTCTGTTTTATTGGTCCCTATATCTATTTTTTTTTGTGCCAATACCACATTGTTTTGATTTTTTTTTAAGTTGAGGGGCACATGTGCAGGATATGCAGGTGTGTTACATATGTAAACATGTGTCATGGGTGTTTGTTGTACCAATTATTTCATCACCCAGGTTTTAAGCCTAGTGTCCATTAGCTATTTTTCCTGATCCTCTACCTCCTCCCACCCTCCACTCTCTGATAGGCCCCAGCATGTGTTGTTCCCCTCTATGTGTCCATGTGTTCTCATCATTTAGTTCCCACTTATAAATGAGAACATGTGGTATTCGGTTTTCTGTTCCTGCATTACTTTACTAAGGACAATGGCCTCTAGCTCCATCCATGTCCCTGCAAAGGACTTGATCTCATTTTTTATGGCCGCGTAGTATTCCATGGTGTATATGTACCACATTTTATTTATCTAGTCTACCATTGATGGGCATTTGAGTTGATTCCATGTATTTGCTATTGTGAATAGTGCTGCAATGAATATACGTGTGCATGTGTCTTTATAATAGAATGATTTATATTCCTTTGGGTATACACCTAGTAATGAAATTGCTGGGTCGAATGGTATTTCTGAGTTTAGGTCTTGGAGGAATTGCCACACTGTCTTCCACAAAGGTTGAACTAATTTACATTCGCACCAACAGTGTATAAGCCTTCTTTTTTCTCCACAACCTCGCCAGTATCTGTTATTCTTTGACTTTTTAGTAATAGCCATTTTGACTTGTGTGAGATGGTATCTCATTGTTGTTTTGATTTGCATATACAGTGATATTGAGCTTTTTTTCATATGATTGTTGGCCACATGTGTATCTTCTTCTGAAAAGTGTCTATGTCCTTTGCCCCCTTTTTAATGGGGCTGTTTGTTTTTTTTCTTGTAAATTTGTTTAAGTTCCTTATAGATGCTGGATATTAGACATTTGTCAGATGCATAGTTATGCATAGTTTGCAAAAAATTTCTCCCATTCTGTAGGTTGTCTGTTCACTTTGATGATAGTTTCTTTTGCTGTGCAGAGGCTCTTTAGTTTAATTAGATCCCATTTGTTAATTTTGGCTTTTGTTGCCATTGCTTTTGGCATCTTCATCATAAAATTTACCCACGTTTTGATTATTATAGCTTTGTATGCAGTAAGTTTTGAAATCAGGTAATGTGATGTTTCTGGCTTTGTATATTTTGTTCAAGATTTCTTTGGCTATTTGTGGTTCCATCTATATTTTAGGATTCTTTTTCTGTTTCTTAAAAACATATAATTGGAATTTTAATAGAGATTGCATTGAATCTGTAGATCACTTTGAGTAGTATGATATTTTAACAATATTAATTTTTACCATCATAAACATGAAATATCTTTTCATTTATTTTTATCTTCTTTAATGTATTTCATCAGTGTTTTACAGTTTTCAGTGTATAGATATTTCACCCTCTTGGTTAAATTTATTTCTAATTATTTTGTTCTTTTTGATGCTACCATAAATGAGATTGTCTTCCTATTTTTTTCATATATTTCAGTGTTAAAGTATAGAAATATAACTGCTTTTGCATGTTGACTTTGTATTCTCCAACTTTGCTAAATTCATTTATTGGTTCTAACATTTTCTTTTGGTAGAGTCTTTAGGGTTTTCTCTATTTAAAATCATGGTGGATGCAAACAGGTAATCTAACTTCTTTAATTCCAGTTTGGAATAAATAGAAACACGTGTAGCATTGTTATGAGGGTCTCCCTTCAGGGATATTATCTGTTTTCTCTTACTCTCTAGGCAAGGGCCCCATGAACACCTTTCTTTCATTTTTGTACCCACCCCTGCCGAGACTTTGTTTTCATCCACACTTTTTAGGAAAAAAGAACAACTTGATGCTGCCTGTCTGATTGTAAAGTAATTGCTTAGAAAGTGATGCACAGGAGATAAAGAGAGAGTTCTCTAATGCAAGGGCTACAACTACTGGAAATCAAATTTCCTGAGGTTTCTTCATAATTGCAGTGAATTGGATTGTAATTTACTGTGCCTTAGGCATTTTGCCATAACTAAGATTTTACAGTATTTAAAATTTTTATTTTCCAGAGTAATTTCACTTGGTTTTAGAGATACGAGTTGTTTCAGATGAGCTGAATGTTATTAAGTGGTGAAAATAGTATCCCAAACAAGAACAGTTGTTTAGTATGCCCTGGCATTATGTTAAGCACTGAATATGTATTGGATAATTTAACCTTAACATAGTACTGTAAGGAGTAGATTATGACTACCCGTTCCTAAATGACAAAATGTACAAAGCAAAGGTCAGAGATGTTATGAAACTTATCCAGGGTCACCCAGCTGGTGATTTTGGGGGGTATGATTCATACCCAAGGAATATGACTCCAGATAGTCTGCTCTTCACCTCAAGCATATGATCTCCAGTGCACAATAAGGGCCAAGCATTTTCATCTTACAAACTGTCAAAGAACCTGCTACAGGTTTCTAATAGAAGATGAACTGAATTATTTAGTGAGTGAATTAATTCTTTTTTTCAGCAGACATTTATTATGGTTACTCCGGGCCAGGCAGTATTCTGGGCTCAGAAGATGCAGCCACAAACAAGATAGAGAAAGAAACTATGGCCAGGAATATTATATTCTTGTAGATGGATGAGAAAGTGATAAGTACCCCAGTTCACCTGGTGCATTAACTGGCCCATTAGTTAATTGTTTAAATCAATCAGTGATTTGAATACTGCAAATTCAAGCTGTAAGATTTACTGCTTTAATCATTAATTTTCTTTGTCATTGTGTCTTACTCATTCAGTCCTTTGTGCTGAGCACAGTGCCTTGTTATCTAGCCTCTGGTGGCTCCTCAAAAAAATTTTTTTTCAATGGTAGATTGCTGTGATTTAAAATTTATATACTTTCCTTTCTAGGGAAGAGGACAGTTTATTTTTGTGAGTAATATGTATTACGTCTGATGGGTCATGTGCTTTTTGAGCTATTTTACTGCCAAGCCTTGACTGGGAATGTGGAATTTCAAAGCAGTGCAATGTACATACAAATGCTAGATTAAAGAGGTGTTTACGTATTTCTTTATTAACTGAAAATACACTAGTTTCAATTTTTCAGTGAAAAAAATAATAGCAAGCCTTCATGCTCTGCTTTACATTTTTTGCTTTTACCATTTGTAGGAGGAAAAATTCCTGTCCAAAATCTCATTCTATATTTTTATGGAACATTTATTCACTGAAAGTTATTAGTCATCTCTATATTGAGTACAAAATACTCCCTTCCTTCAAAGGGAAATAATTTTTCAATTGTTTATTTACATTTTATATTTTAGATGCTGTGAAAGACAATATTGTACTACTATCTGTTTTCATTGAATAAAAACAAGTGTAGTAAAGTACTTGACAAATTGAATGCTGGTCAACATCACTGGGGAACACAACGTTAGAACTAAGTTGTCCTGGAAGGCCTGTAGGAAAACATAAGCCTGGGGAAAGTAAGCTTGCTCCATGTTCCCCTCACAGCAGGTTTCATGGGGTAGGCAATAAAGTGGATGTGAGAGCACAGTCTCAGTTCTTAGGGATTTAGACATTTGGAGCTAAAAGAATCCAGGAGATAGATATTTCTCTAATTCTGCAGAGTGATTACCAAAAGGATCAGCCACTAAGGAAGTATAAAACTTTTTCCTGTCTTCTTATAAATGTGGAACTTGGAGCAAAGGCAGAACATGAATCTAGACAGTCTGAAGCCAACTGGTTGTTCCTTTAGTGAATTCATTCAGTCTTCACTTTATTCAATGCACTAATTTGACTGTATGTGAATGAGCAGTTGTAGTCCTTGTCCTAAAGGAGCATCTTGTTCATATAAGTTGGCCCATGTATGTGGTATATATATATATACCATGGAATACTACTACTCAGCCATAAAAAGGAATGAAATAAGGGCATTTGCAGCAACCTGGATGGAATTGGAGACCATTATTCTAAGTGAGGTAACTCAGGAATGGAAAACCAAACATTGTATATTCTCACTTATAAGTGGGAGCTAAGATATGAGGATGCAAAGGCATTAGAATGATACAATGGACTTTGGGGACTCAGGGTGAAGGGTGGGAATGGAGGTGAGGGATAAAAGACTACACATTGGGTCCAGTGTACACTGCTTAGGTGATGGGTGCACCAAAATCTCAGAAAACACCACTAAAGAGCTTATCCATGTAACCGTATACCACCTATTCCCCCAAAAAGTTGGAAATTTAAGCAAAGGCTACCTGCTGTACTCAGAATCTTCAAATTAAATGAAGGTTAAATGTTCCACTTTTAATCAACAGAAATCATTGTAATCAGAAGTGTGGAGAGAGAGAGAGGAAAAACAAGAAAACAAAAACAAATCTGCCTTCATAAAATTGCAGCTGCAGGGTTTCTCGGATCCCTTGAAACATAACGTCAGTCAACACACACAAAAAATACAACAAACTTTTATTAATGAAACTCAGGGAAATTTAACAAAAATATTTCTTACTTTCAGGAAATTTCATAGTATTATTAAAGCACTGAACCTAGAATAGTAATTGCATGAGGTTTAGATACAACAGCTATAACTGAAAATCAGAAGATATTCCAGGCTTCTCCGGGAACTTTCTGGTATCTGCATTCAATTCCTCCCTCCAACATGTGATGCAATTCTAGTAGAAGTAATCAGGTGGACTTGGGTAATGTTAGGCTACAACAGTTGTCAAAGACAATGTGTTAACTACTGATAATGTTTTAGCTTAAATATATTCCCCCTTGTCCTTTAAACTTATATTAGAAGTGATTTCAAGTGTCACTGATTTAATATTTAAAAGTCTATAATTTCTCCAGAACACCTTATAAGCCAAGAAATTTTAAAGTCTTTTCTAAAATTTAACGTAGCTCAAAAATCCATGAAACTGAACCAGCATTCCTAAATAAATATATATGTATTTCAACTACTATTTATGCTTGGCCTCTTGGCAAACCACTGCAATTTTAGTTTTAAATGCTATCTAGTTAAAATAAATATATTTTTGTTTAATAATATGGGCCCTGTTATAATTTAGGCTGGAGACTTTTCTTATGCTGAACAATTAGTAGAAAAAGAAAATTTTATAGAAAACTAAACCAGAATGCAGTGATGTCAGGATTCACTAATCTTCAGATCTTTTGAAAGCTTCAACATAAGTGCTAAGGGAATAGAGTCTGCAGAAGGTCTGGGAGAGGCTCTGGGATGAGTATGTAGAAAACACTCCCCTCTTCCAAGCCCATCTTCTATGTTTATGTTTATGGGAATCTCCTTTATACCAAATACTTCCTAATATTTAGTGTCACTTTTTATTTGACTACGGATTGGAGCATCTTGTTTCTTGGAAGAACCCACTGTACAAATGAACTATTGTTGTTTAAAACCACTGAGATTTTGGATTTTTTTATTTCTGGAACACAAATTTACCTATATTGACTTATTTAATCACCTTCCATGTACAAGGAATGTATTAATGAAACCAGCACTCAAGATAAAAACATTTGTATTAGAAATCTAATTGAGGCTATTTCTTTTTTTACCTTTTATTGTTAGTTAAAATGTGATCATTGTACATGTTTATGGGATACATAGTGATATTTTGATACATGTATACAACATGTAATGATCAGATTAGGGTAATTAGCCTATTCATCACCTCAGTGGATTCCTTCCAGTTTTTATTGTTTTTTTCTTTCTCTATATTAAAGTACAGTAAATTTAATTATTACACACATGAACTAAGCCAACCCATAATAGAGTATGGAGAGATTCTAATCTTCCCTCCCTAGTTCACCGCCTTGTATATCAAATAGACTCTGAGTTTCTGTGACAACTCCTACCATGTTATTTCTCTAACAACTTTTCAATAGTCTATGAGAATGGACTCATTTCAGGAACTCATTTCACAAAATTTCCTGACAAAACTGACTATGATTGGAAGGCTTATTTTCAGCTGGTAACATGGGCCAGAACTAGAAGCACATGAGCTCAGTGATTTTGCTTGATATTTCATTTTGTGACCTGAAAGGTAGGACAGATGCACTCATCTGCTTTAAAAGGAAAGGAATTCCTACTTTACCGCTTTTCCCATCTGAAATTCTTTCCTCAAACTCAATATATAGTAATCAGGAATATAAAGTTGCTTTATTTAAGGATATATCAGAGCCCTTGTCCAGTAGCTTTCTGGAAACTCAGCATAGCAAGGTGCATAGCTTTTGCAGGTTGGACCATCTTATTCCAATGTCCTAAACTGGATTCTCTTTCAGCAGTCTCGTAGGTATTTGTTTGTCAGTGTTTGGTCTAAATTGCTTTCTGGTCCTGTGTGATTAGTGCTAGTTTTGTGCAATATCTTCTCACTGATCACTTTTTCTCTGGTTAAATTTATGCTACTGGTATCCCAAAATGAAGGAGAGGCTGCCTACGTACCAGTTTAACTTTACTGACTCCCTTATGCTGCAAAACTTTTTTTTTTGTTTTTTGAGATGGAGTCTCACTCTCTTGCCCAGACTGGAGTGCAGTGGCATGATCTCAGCTCACTATAACCTCCACCTCCCGGGTTCAAGTGATTCTCCTGCCTCAGCCTCCCAAGTAGATGGGATTACAGACACGCACTACCATGCCTGGCTGATTTTTGTATTTTTAGTAAAGATGGGGTTTCACCATCTTGTCCAGGCTGGTCTTGAACTCCAGACCTCAAGTGATCCACCCACCTCGGCCTCCAAAAGTGCTGGGATTACAGGTGTGAGCCACTGCGCCCAGCCAATGCTGCATAACTTTAGATGAGAAGTAGGAAACAAGTTGGGAGATTCATGAGACATAATCTGTTCAGTAAACTTGTGCTATTATTTCTGCCAGCAGTCCCAAAGAAACAATCATCTCTATGTGGTTAGATCATTGTACTTCCTCCTAAATAAATCTCTCCTTTTGCATTTCCTGAGGTGGTTAGTAGATTTTTACTCCCTCTTTATGCCATACTCTAGCCATAGCCAACTTTAAACCTTCCTGTTCACTTGTATTTACAACATAAAGTCCCATTCAGGGAACCTTTATAATATCTTGTGATAATTCTTCTTATTCCTTTTCCACTCTTACTTCCCTCAAATTCAAGTTTTCATTTATGGAATTTAATGGATCCCTTTTCTACACTTATATTGTCCTTGTAACACCTTTTTCAAAAACACTGACCACATTGTACTATAACTTTTTCTTGAAGGCCAGTCTCTTCTACTGAGATTTCTAAGACAGAGCTATCACTTATGTGCCTCAGTGTCTCCAGATCATAGTGCAGGGCCTGTTAACTAATAAGTTCTCAATAAGTGGCTGTTGAATAAAGATTTTCTTAGTTCATCTGCTATCTCTAGTCTCTCCTCCCATGTATTTTCAGCCAAACCATGATATTAAAATTCTTTTTTTTTTTTTTTTTTTGAGACAGGGTGTCACTCTGTCACCCAGGCTGGAGTGCAGTGGTGCTATCACAGATCACTGTGGACTGGACCTCCCAGGATCCAGTGATCCTCTCTCCTCAACCTCCCAAGTAGCTGGGACCACAGGCATGTGACACCAAGCCCGGCTAATTTTCAATTTTTTTTTTTTTTTGTAGAGATGGGGTCTTTCTGTGTTGCCCAGGCTAGATTCAAACACTCCTAAAGTGCTGGAATTATAGGCATGAGCCACCACACCCAGCCTTTTTTTCTTTTTTGTTTGTATAAATTTAAGGTGTACAGATGTGATTATGTTACATGGATATATTACATAGTGGTGAAGTCTGGTCTTTAAGAGTAACCATCACCTAAATAATGTACATTGTACCCATTAAATAATTTCTCATTCCTCATCTCCCTTTCACCCTTCCTAGTCTCCAGGGTCTATTATTCCACAGAGGTTGTCTATGTGTGCATTTTATTTAGTTCCCTCTTATAAGTGAGAACATATGGTATTTGATTGAGTTATTTCACTTCAGATAATGGCCTCCAGTTTCATTCATGTTGCTGCAAAAGACATGATTTCATTCTTTTTTGTAGCAGAATATCATTTAATTTTTTTGTATATATATATGTACACATAGATACACATATACATATATACATATATACACTTATGCATACTTATAGTATTTCATTTATATACATATAAGTATTTTATATATAGATATTAAATACTATTCTGCTATAAAATGAATGAAATTATATATGATTTTCTTTGTCCAATCATCTGTTGATGGACATTTAGGTTGATTCCATATATTTGCAATTGTGAATAGTGCTGTGATGAACATATATGTGCAGGTATCTTTTTCATATAATGATTTTTTTTTCTTTAGACACCTAGTAGTAGAATTGCTGGACCAAATGGTAGTTCTACTTTTAGTTTTTGGAGGAATATCTATATTGTTTTCTTTTTTTCTTTAATTTTTAACTTTTGTGAGTACATAGTAGGTGTATATATTTGTGAGGTACATGAGATGTTTTGAAACAGTCATGCAGTGTGAAATATGCACACCATGGATAAAGGGGTATCCATCCCCTAAAGCATTTATCCTTTGTGTTACAAACAGTTAGATTATACTCTTTTAGTTATGATAAAATGTAAAATTATTATTGACTATAGTCACCTTGTTGTGCTACCTAATTGTAGGTCTTATTCATTCTTTCTATTTTTCTTTGTAACAATTAACCACCCCTATCTCCCACCCAGTCCCCCATTACCCTTCCCAGCCTCTGGTTCTATTATCTATTCTCCCATCTTTCTATTCTCTATGTCCATGAGTTCAATTGTTTTTATTTTTAGATCCTACAAATAAGTGAGTACATTTGATGTTTGTCTTTCCATGCCTGACTTATTTCACTAAACATAATGATCTCCAGTTCCATCTATGTTGTTGCAAATGACAGGATCTTATTCCTTTTTATGGCTGAATAGCACTCTGGTGTGTATATGTACTCCATTTTCTTTATCCATTCATCTGTTGATGGACACTTACATTGCTTCCAAATCTTGGCTATTGTGAACAGTGCTGCAACAAACATGGGAGTGTAGATATCTCTTCAACATACTGATGTCCTTTCTTTTGGGTATATACCCAGAAGTAGGATTGCTGGATCATATGGTAGCTCAATTTTTAGGAACCTCCAAGCTGTTCTCCATAGTGGGTGTACTACTTTACATTCCCACTAACAGTGTATGAGAGTCCTTTTTACTCTGTATCTTTGTCAGCATCTGTTATTTTTTGTCTTTTTGATAATATCCATTTGGACTTTGGTAAGATGATATCTCATTGTGGTTTTAATTTGCACTTCTCCAGTGAGTAGTGATATTGAGAATTTTTTTTTTTTGGCTTGTCGGCCAGATGTTAAAATTCCTAAAGTAGATTTCCATGCATGAAACTCAACTGGTCAAAAACACTCATTGACACTATATTGCTTAACAAGGTGAAGGCTCCTTAGCTATATACTCAAGGCCTTCTTAATCTGCACGACTTTCCAAATTTTTTCCCAACCATTGCTCCAGGAAGACAACAACAAAGCTCAGCTGCACTACTTGCATTTCTCCTATATAAATTTCCCATTTGTACTTTGCTTATAATAGTTTCTCAAACTCAAGTGGCTTCCTCCTTTTTAAAAAAATCCTTGAGTTCCATCTTCATGTATTCTATAATATAGTTGAAATACCCTTCCAATTCTAAGTTATTAAGTAAACTTTTTTTTTTTTTGAGATGGAGTCTCACTCTGTCACCCAGGCTGGAGTGCAGTGGCACAATCTCGGCTCGGCTCACTGCAAGCTCCGCCTGCTGGGTTCACGCCATTCTCCTGCTTCAGCCTCCCAAGTAGCTGGGACTACAGGCGCCCGCCACCATGCCCGGCTAATTTTTTGTATTTTTTTTAGTAGAGATGGGGTTTCACCATGTTAGCCAGGATGGTCTTGATCTCCTGACCTCGTGTTCTGCCTGCCTCGGCCTCCCAAAGTGCTGGGATTACAGGCATGAGCCACCGCGCCCAGCCAATTATTAAGTAAACTTTTATGTCTTTCCTAACATGTCCCAGATAGTGTGTGTAGCAGGGGACATATAAATATAGAAGACAACATTTTCTCTAAATAGACTAAATTCTGGTGGATGGACAAAAATGCACCATTGAAGCAATTCATATATTTCCTGCAAAAATTTTCCTGCTTTGAAACTCCTGCAGAATAATGTATTTACTTCTCATGGACAAACTACTTGTTGCCCTACATTATAGCCATTAGCAGACTTGTCTTTATTATTAGATAAGAAAATTATAACTGTGTCCCATTTATATTTTTATTACCAAGAGATCCTTAAAAATGTATTCCATATACACAGCACATGATTGACATGTGTATTCTAAATGGATGAATAATTTTAGATTGAATTGCCTTGACTTTTTACTTCAGGAATATTGAGAGTATGAACTCTTCACATTTGTGTCATTACTTTGAATGAGAAATTCTTAGTATGCTGTCTTACATTTAGGATATCTACAAAAGGAAAGATGTGAAGCCATTTAAATCTAAGGAGAAATCATCAAGGCTCTGATAATCATCACGATGTATTCTTCTGACATTATATCATATTCAATATGTTATTGTCATATGCTAGCAAAACAAATGTGAACTCGCTAGCTGGTAATATCATACTTGTTCAGGTCATTTATAACATTTGTGGGACATATAACAATAGAACAAAATAAAGGCCAAATTGCCATAAATCTATGAATTTAAAGGTAACATATAATGCTAAGAAACTACTAAGTAAAACATGGTCTATGTTCCAACCTTGACAAGGTACTTTCCTAATCACCTGAAAGGGCAGGCTCAAGTTATGAACTCTTTTCACTTCAAGGTCAGAAAGTAGCAGCACAGAAAAAGCGCACCCCTGAACCCTGTTGACTCTCTTCTTTTCTCCTCTCTTTGCATACTCTCACACTGACAGGGTCCTTACACCCATAAGGACACTCCCATATACAGGTTAAATTTTTTTTCCACATCTCCCTACTGACATCTGCCACTTGATTATCCACTGGGCTTAGGAGCATATACATGTAAGATAGCTCTGTACTTAGCGTGATGGGCTCAAGAGGAAGCCCACACAACCCTGGAAGTGGATTCAGGGCCATTTGAGAAGGGAAACCCTAGGACATGATTGGCCAGAGTATGGGCTAGAAGATTGTGTTGGTCTAACCAGCAGGAGCCCTGTCAGAGAGGGTTGGGCAAGGGCCTGTATGACCTAGGCCTAAAGACAGTAATTATGCTTCCTAAACTTTCCCCACTCAACAAATTCTACCACTTCTTTGAAGATATAATTTGCATCATATGTATTTAGTAGTAAGATATACATTTTTAGGGAAATTAATGTTTCTTCCTCTGAGAAAGCTATAGTCAGTCAAGCACATGTAATGAACATATGTAAAGGATCTTGAATACCTGTAACATATAGCAAAAAATGTTTTGGAATACAGACAATTAAAATAGTGACTACAATTATATGTGAAACTGATTTTATGTGAATGGATCCAGTGGAAAATAACAAAACAGGCCAGGCACGGTGGTTCACACCTGTAATCCCAGAACTTTGGGAGACAGAGGCAGGTGGATCACTTGAGGCCAGGAGTTCAAGACCAGCCTGGCCAACATGGGGGAAACCCCATCTCTACTAAAAATATAAAAATTAGCCATATGTGGTGGTGCACCCCTGTAATCCCAGCTACTCCAGTGGGTGAGGCACGAGAATTGCTTGAACCCGGAAGGAAGAGGTTGCAGTGAACCCAGATCATGCCACTGCACTCCAGCCTGGGAGACACAATGAGACTCTGTCTCAAAAGAAAAAAAAATAATAATAACAAAACGAAATACCCTGTGTAAATTGTTAAGAAACTATGAGAGGCCAGGCGCAGTGGCTCACACCTGTAATCCCAGCACTTCGGGAGGCTGAGGCGGGCAGATCACGAGGTCAGGAGATCGAGACCATCCTGGCTAACACGGTGAAACCCTGTCTCTACTAAAAATACAAAAAAATTTAGCCGGGTGTGGTGGTGGGCGCCTGTAGTCCCAGCTACTCTGGAGCTCAGGAGGCTGAGGTAGGATAAAGGCATGAACCTGGGAGGCGGAGCTTGCAGTGAGCCGAGATGGCGCCACTGCGCTCCAGCCTGGGCGACAGAGCGAGACTCTGTCTCAAAAAAAAAAAGAAAAAAAAAAAAAAAAAACAACTATGAGATTATCTGGAAAGTAATGACAAAAGTGGCTGCAGAAAAATAATCAAGACAGCTGAAAACTAGAATCAGTCTGTCAAGAACATCTAGTTTCTTGATACATTAGAGAACAACAGAGTTTCCACTTGATAAGGGAAAATTTTTTGACAGAAAGACCTGCTGAAAATTTAAAAAATTTGGTTCATAATGTCATAGAATGTGGTTTGGGAGAAATTTTCTGAAATTGTCAATAGAGCTGAAAGCTTGTTATAAACCATTACTAATTTATGGTGCCATAAAACTAGCCACCCTTCCCAATGATAACTACGAAACTATGATTTCAGTTTCAAAATACAAAATAATTTAATGAGTTAATTTTTTAGGGATAATATAACTTGAAAAGTTGTGTTTTAGTATCTATGGATAGCGATAGAGGAACAGTAGAAAAGCTATCAGATTCAGACCTCTGCTTGAGTTAGAACTACAGCACTCATTAGATGTATGACTTTGGATAAGCCATTTACACTTAATTATTTTAGGACAAATTTTAAAAAATGAAATAATAATAATAATATGTAAACTATCATTGTGAAGACTAAATTGGGCTGTAAGTTAAAGTACTTTGTAAACATCGTAATAGTAATGCTACTTGTTTTAACTGTCTCCCACTGTGATTTCTGACACAAGTAATGTATAACGTGTATATTGCTTAATAGCTGATTTACTTGTTTTTAACTCAGTAGCAGTTAATTATTCACATTTTAAACCTACAGAATTCTGCCTCGGTCATTAAGATGACTGAACTGAACCAAGGTGTCATCTTGCTACTTGATGCTTTCATGTTAACAAGCAATTAGGATTAATTATGTTATCATCTATTTGATTGTTTGACAACTGAGACTTTCTGTAACTAAAATAATTATTTCAGCTGTGTTTTTAATCAGTCTATCATACTATATAAACCTCAACATTATTTTAATAAATTTTTTCATTCTGAAGCGTGTTAAAATGTGCATAAGATAACAACAAAAGGTAAGGAAAAGGATTTTACTATTTTCTACAATGTATGTGACCTGAGGGGAGGAAAAGGAGATTTTATGTTGGCATACATATTCTAGAAGCATACATAAATAATCAAATGAAGGAGAGGTTGTTCAAATCAGGAAAAAGTATACTGTTGGATAGTCAACAATCAAGATCAAATCTATGAGTCAATTATGATATAAATTGGGACAAAAATTTGAAGAAGATAATGAAGAGTCAGAATTCAAAATGAGATCTGTGAAACTGACGTTCAGCATAACTACATTTTTCTTCTGCGTGACATTCATTATGATTGCTATGTTTGTAAAAACCTGGCTCCAGTGAAATCCATGGCACAAAGAAAGGTCTTCTTTGGACTCCACTGCTTTTGCACATCCATAATTTTTTGTATGTTGTGTTTCATTTTCATTTGTCTCGAGATATTTTTAAATATTTCTTTTGATTTTGTCTTTGACTCTATCATTGTTCAAGAGACTGTAATTCGGTTTCCACATATTTGTGAATTTTCCCATTTCTGTACTGTTAAAGCATTCTAGTTTCATTTCATTGTTCTTGGTAAAGATACTTGGTATAATTTTGATCTTCTTGAATGTGTTAAGATTTGTTTTGTGACTTTTAGTCAGAGTTTTCCAGGGAGACAGAATTGATAGGCTATCAACAGAGAGCTATAAAAGGGAATTCATTAGGGAAGTTGGCTCACTTGACTCTGTAAGCTCAGAAGTCCCATGATAGGCTGTGTGTAAGCTACACAACCAGAAAAGCCAGTAGCAAGGCTCAGTCCAAATCCATGAGCCTCAGAAACAAGGAAGCCAATAACGTAATTCTCACCACCAGTTCAAAGCCAAAGACCTGAGAACCAGGAAACCGCTAGTGTGAGTCCCAGAGTCTAAAGGCAAAAGATCCTGGAGTTCTAATGTCCAAGGGCCAGAGAAGAGCATCCTGGCTCTAGGAGTGAGAGGGCAAGGATTTGCCCTTCTTCTACCTTTTTGTTCCATCCAGGCCCCCAGCTGATTGCATAGTGCCTGCCCTTATTGAAGGCAGGTCTTTCCCACTTAGTGCATTGACTCACATACCAATCTTCTCTGGAAACACCTTCACAAACACACCTAGTGTAGCCCAATAATTCTAATAAAAAGCATAATCACCTGTTTCTCTTTCGGCAGAAGAGGGACTAGCTCTGTGTCTACTGAAACATCGAGAATAAATAATGTGCT
Organism: Homo sapiens; assembly: GCF_000001405.40. Lineage (NCBI taxonomy): Eukaryota > Metazoa > Chordata > Mammalia > Primates > Hominidae > Homo > Homo sapiens. The sequence goes on along the minus strand of NC_000023.11, from coordinate 36,819,632 downwards.
CACTTCAGCAGCACATATACTAAAATTGGAGAATAAATAATGCTTTACCAGCTATTTGAGTATCCCTTAATCCAGTCAAGTTGACACTAAAAATCAACCATCACAGTGACCTATATTGGTGCACGTTTCATGTGTGCCTGAGAATACTATATTCTTCTGCTGTTGGGTGGAAAGTTCTGTGTATGTCTATTTGGCCCATTTGGTCTGCAGTGTTGTTCAATTCTGCCATTTCATTATTGGTTTTCCGTCTGGTTGATCTGTCTATGTTTGCAAATGGAGTACTGAAGCCTTCTACTATTATTGTATTGCTGCGTATTTCTCTCTTCAGATCTGTCAATATTTGATTTGCATGTTTAGGTCCTTTGATGTTGGGTGCATAAACATTTATAATTGTTATATTTCCCTGATGAATTAACCCTTCTATTATTATATAATGACCTCCTTTGTCTCTTGTGACAGTTTTTGACTTAGGTCTACTTTGTCTGATATAAGGATAGCCACATCTTCTCTCTTCTGGTTACCATTTGCATGGAAAATGTTTTTCAATTCCTTCACTTTCAGCCGATGCATGTCCTTAATTCTAAAGTGAGCCTCTTCTAGACATCATATAGTCTGATTTTGCTTTAAAAATATACTTAGATAATCTATATCTTTTGATTGATTAATCAGTTTGTACATTTAGAGTAATTATTAACAGGTAAGGACTTACTATTGCCATTTTAATTGTTTCCTATCTATTCTGTAGCTCTCTTTTTCCTTTTCTCCTCTCTTCCTGACTTCTGTGAAATTTGAAATTTTTTGTAGTAATATACTTTGATTCTTTTTTCTTTATCTTTTATTGTATTTCCTATGGGATTTTTTTTGTGGTTACCATGAGGCTTGCATATAATTTCTTGTTGTTATAACAGTCCACTTTAAGCTGATAATCACTTCAATTGTTTACAAAACTCTATACTTTTACTCCCACTTCTCAATATTTTTTGTGTTATCGATATTAAAATTACTTCTTTCTGTACTGTGTATCCAACAACAAATTGTTGTGGTTATAGGCATTCTTAATACTTCTGACTTAACTCTTTTACCAGGGCTAAGAGTGATTTATATGCCACTATTGCAGTATTACATTATTCTATATTTGTCTATATATTTACCTTTATCAGTGAAATTTATACTTTCATATACTTTAGCGTTGCCACTTATCATCTTTTTTATTTCAACTTGAATAACTTCCTTTAGCAGCTTCTTGTAAGGCAGGTCTGGTAGAAACAAACGCCCTCAGCTTTTGTTTGTCTGGGAAAGCCTTTATCTCTCCCTCATTTTTAAAAGACAGTTTTGCAAGGTATAGTATGTTTCATTGGGATTTTTTTCCTTCAGTGCTTTGAACATAACATCCAGCTCTCTCCTGGTCTTCACAATTTCTGCTGAGAAACCTATTTATGAATAATGAGAGATGTGGATTTTCTGTTGGGGGATACTTCTTCATGGGTCCTTGGGGTCTCTATACATCTTGGAGTCAGAGGCACCGATTGCCATTGTTTGAACTATCTTTTCACATTTTTTTTCAAAGTGAGTAGTCTTGAAGGATTGAGAGAGTGTTTCTTACATGCTCAAAAGTCTCAGTCTTATTGTCTGTTGTATTATATTCCTACTGCTGTGTAACAAATTACCACAAATTTAGAAGCTTAAAATAACACTAATTTATATTAGCTCATAGTTATCTATGTCAGAAGTCCAGCATGGCATAACTGGTTAATATGGTTTGGCTGGGTCTCCACCCAAATCTCATCTTGAATTATAGCTTCCATAATTCCCATGTGTCATGGGAGGGACCCGTGGGAGGTAATCGAATCAGGGGTGTGGTTTTTTCCCATGCTGTTCTCATGGTAGTAAATAAGTAAATAAGTATCATGAGATTGGATGGTTTTATAAGGGGAAACCCCTTCCACTTGGTTCTCATTCTCTCTCTTCCCTGCTGCCAGGTAAGATGTGCCTTTCACTTTTCACCATGATTGTGAGGCCTCCGCAGCCACGTGGAACTGTGAGTCCATTAAACCTCTTTTTCTTTATAAATTACCCAGTCTTGGGCATGTCTTTAGCAGCAGTGTGAGAATGGACTAATACACTGGTTATCTGTTCAGGGTATTACAATACTGAAATCAAGGCACCAGCGAGACTGAACTCTTATCTGAAAACTCTGGGGAAAAATTCTCTTCCAAGATCATTCAAGATGTTTGAAAAATTTTGTCTTGCAGTTATACTATTAATGTCACCCTTTTTCTTACAGGCTGTTGGCCAGATGCTTATCTGAGCTCCTAGAAACCACCCACATTCTTTACCATATGGCCGCCTCCATCTTCAAAGCCAGCAATGGATAATTTATACCTTGTCAAGTTCCTCTCATTCTTCAAATCTCTCTGACTTTTCTGTCTCTGACTAGTGTGTCCAGATTTATAGGGCTCCTGTGATTAGGTCAGGCACACTGGATAATCTCCCTTTTTTTAAAAGTCAATTTGTAATACAATATAACCTAGTCATGGGAGTATAATTAATCATATGCAGAGTCCTGGGTAATATACAGGGAAAGTACACCAGAGTCACAGAATTTTGGTGGCCAAAATTCTCTTAGAATTATAAGAATATTTATTATTCAGGAGGTTTTCACTTTAAAATATCTATTCCCTAATACTTATTGTATTCAAATTACTTATTTGTCACAGTAAATTTTGGTAGTTTGTGCTTTTCAGGTAACTGGTCTATTTTATTTAAGTTGTAAATTTATGTTTGTAGTATTCTCTTATTATCCTTTGATGCCTGGTTGGTGAGTAGTAGCATCTACTGTTTCATTCCTGATGTTAATAATTTGTATTATTTCCCCTTTTCCTCATTCTTACTAGAGGCTTGTCAATTTTATTAATCTCCATAAAGCCAAGATTTTTATTTCATCAGCATTATCCATCTTGATTTTTTCTGTTTTCACTGTAATCATTATCTACTTTTATTCTTATTAGTTCCTTATTTCAGCTTGGTTTGAGTTTAGTTTGCTCTTGTATAAATTTCCCTCTCTGTGCTCTTTAGCTACTCCCACAAATTTTGATATGCTATAATTTCATTTTCATTTAGTTGAATGTATTTGTAAATTCCCTTGAGACTTCTTCTCTAACCCACGAATTATTACAAATTATGCTGTACTTATTTCTTAGTGTTTGGAGATTTTCCTGTTGTATTTTGTTTTAATATTTAATTTGATTCTGTTGTGGTCAAGAAACACACTCTGTATGACTCCAATTCATTAAAACTTGTCGAAGTTTGTTTTATGGCCCAAGATATGGTTGATTTTGATTTATGTTATAAAGGCATTTTTTAAAAAATGTACATTGTGCTGTTGTTGGGTATAGTGTTCTATAAATGTCAATTAGATCCTTTTGACTGATTAATTTATTGAGTTATTTTATATCGTTGATTTTTTTTTGCCACTACTCACTGATAGGCAAACTTTGACATCACCGTAGTCAGTGAAAATGCAGAGGGGTACCTCATGACCACTGGATATTGGTATAAGTCCAAGCTCATATTGAGGTCTCTACAGACATTATCAGTCTGCCTTATTCTCTCCACCTTTCAGAGTCTTTTCATATTTATATTATATATGATGTCCAAGATTTTCAGTTGTGCTTAAAGGGAAGAATGAGGAAAAATAAGCCTACTCTATCTCCCCAGAACTAGAAGTCTATTTTATTGAATACTTATTTAACTGATTTTATCTCAGTATAAAGAAACTATTATTTTGATCTGTTTACAATTGATAGTTGTTCAGTTGGTTTTAAAGTTTTTCAGAATCAAGAATCTGGATAATTTATGAATGAAAAAAACTCCAGCCAAATTTTACTATAAAAAAGACATTAAGGAGTATAATGATGATGAGTGGAGGAAAGAGAACTATTTAAAATTAGCAGAGATAGATACACAAGGAAAACTTTTTAATGGAAAAGGTTTTTATGCAAATCTGGAGAATATCATCTAGTTTCCTATCTGTCTTTGCCATGAGAAGTAACAATTTTATCCCTTCTGCCTAAAAAGTTGGGTTGGTTAGAGAAAAGAAAGCAGGGTCTACTAAAGTCTGTTGAGGAAAGTGGCACAGAGAGCCTTCTCAGATAAGCTAGAGTGCCTTCAGGGTTAAAAATACAAGGAAGCTCAGTGAGCTTATTTTGATAAATTCCAAGTAGATGGTTAAATATTTTTCATGTCAAGTCTCAGAAGAAAAAAGCCTACTGAAAAAGATATGTTTTTTTTTCTTTTTTTGTTTTTCTGCAACAGAAGTAATAAGAAAATTATGGATATAAACAGGATAATAATGTTAGGGTAAACTAACATTAAATGTGGTAAGGAAACATTTAATTTATATCAAGTTTTAAGAGAAGCAATTTTTGTACATATTCATGCTTTCCAAGCACATTAATTGTTTATTTTTTCTAGGTATCAATGCATAATGTGAAGTTCTGTTAATGAAATGGTAAACACAGATAGACTTGGTCCTTATCCTCTTGGAGTTTTGTGTCGAGTCAGGGAGATGTATATTTATCAAAGAATAATGCACACAAATGTAAATTAAATTGATCTAGTTTTAGAGGGTAAGTCTTCTTTGAAGAAATCACAATTTAAATGCACTTCAAATGACTAATAGTAGGGGAGAAACTGTTCTAGGTAGAAGGAACAATATATAAAAATGCCCTTCAGCCAGAGGGAGTGAGTTACTTTAGAAAAACACTGGAAGGACAGAAAAGCTGAAGGACAAACAGTGGAGGAAAACATAGTTTGAAGTGAGCCGAAGAGATGAAGTGTCTCAAACCATTCCTTTTCTATTCATTCCTGATAAGATGTGGCCATTTAGATAATATATTTTTTAAAAATTACTGAATGGATTTAGGCAGTGGAATAACATGAAGTTCAACATGAACTTCAAAATTTTCACCCAGCAATAATTACTGGAAGAGGGAAAGAATTGATGGGAGGAGCCAAAGTAACCCAGAAGAGATTAATATTAAACATTCAAAGTTGTAATAAATATGTTAATTTCAGACAAAAATATAATAGAATTGAATTATGTTCCAATCAGAGTTTCTTGTTGCAGATATCTAAGGAAATCATAGATTATTAATTGAGACATAATTGCTACTCAGCTTCTTGAACTGGGGGCACAGTTTCTGGAAGCAAATAGACCATTTCTGAAGTCTAAACTTCAGGTATCCATACCTACGCAGTGATAACAAACAAATATCAGAAAGTTTTAATAAAGGTAGAAAAAATCCAAATCAAATTTCATTTAGAGAAGATAAAGAGACACATGCATTATTTTATTAGGCTTACAGAGAACTTAGAAAAGGACATTCTCTGGAAAATTTATTTTAGTTTATTTTTTGTAGGATTTAGATTAAGGTAACAAACAAAGCAAGAAGAAAATTATAGTCTTAGAAACTGCCAGACTAAATAGCTTTCTCTGAAAAGATTGGTATTTCCTTTTGGATATGTTAAATGCCAAAGCTACAATTTTTCATTTATTTTCTTTGTCATTGCATACGTAGGTTATTTACTCCAATTGGATGCCATTTGCCTTTTGCCAAAGGAAGTCTTCCTGCAGACTCATATTAAAAACATTTATTCTCTTAAAACATGTTATAAAAACAGTCCCTGCCACTCTTCTTTTGATATCAGCCATTTCCTTATACAGAATTCGGTTGTCAAATGATTGAAGGCCTATGTAATTCAGCCCTAATTGATTATGTGAGACAAAGGTGTCTTAAAAGGCTTTAGTTTAGAATACCTTTTCCCAAACAGCCCATGTATCTTAAGGTGCACACATTCCAAGTAGAAAAGATCAAGTTTCATTGTCATTGCTATTGGAATGGCTATTGTGGCAGCATTAGATTTACATTTTGGGGGAGAAAGGGATGCTTAATTTGAGCAAAGACAGGTAGATCGCAGGCGAGCTGGCAGTCCTGGATGAAAGCTATTGGAAGTTAGGTAATTTGAATGGCAGTTTAGGCTGCACATCTTTTTCTTGGAAAAGCTCAGTTTTGATCTACTCTATTTCAATTTTCTTTAATACATTTTGAACAATAAATTTATTATTTAAAGATTGCACCTTTTTATCAGAGAGACATGACTATAACTTGGCTGCAATACTATTAATATATTGGTAGTAGACTTAGTTTAATGCATAGTTTATTTGAACTTTTTCCTTAAAGGACCTACTTTATCCTACTGAAACAATACATTCCTCTGGAATAAACAAGTAAAACACTTTCTACTGTCATTTTGTTTTTCTCCCAAAATGCTGAATACTAGGGAGCCAAGTGCATTCCCCAGTGCCTTTGCATTGTCATGTGAGACTGTGTGAGGCTGAGGGTCCTTGCTTATTAAGAACATGGAGTGCCAGTACTGTGGGGCCACTGGAGTGCTTCCTAAGACTGCTAACAAAGGGCATTGTGCCCACACATTAATTCACACTACTTGGCTATATTAACTCCTTTAACTGTCATGATTGTTTATTTCCCTCTCCACCACTGATTAGTGCTTAGAACCCTCCAAGCTGCAAATAGCAGAAAACGTCTGGAAAGAGAGAATACGTGAAGTTTGCATCCTGAATGGAATGGGAAAAACATACTAAGCATGCTTAAAAGACTTTACTTCATGTTCTGAGCTATTCAGCACATGGCTGAGCTCATTTCTTCCTCTTCAGATGTCTCAGTTCAAAAATAAATGAGATAAAATTTCAGTCTCATTTGTATTTATTATTTCCTAGATTCAGTTAGAATTTTTCTTTAAATTTAAGAAAGTCCAAGAGATTTTAAACGAATATATATAAAGGGGGGTAAGGATTACATGAATATAGGAAAAACTAGAATACTTTCTGTGATCAGAATAACTTTTGGTTATTTATTCATTATTAAAATACTGATTGAGTGCTTTCAGTTAAAATGAAATAAGTCAGAAATGTATATCCTGCTTTAAAAAGATATTGTCACTTGACTCTAAGCTCCATAGGGCAACTACAGGGTAGGATTTATCTTTGTTCTGGTCATATAAAACTATTCAACCAATATTTATTGAACAAATGCAGGAATGTTTAATGTACCTGGCTACTAGGGAACAGAAGACACAGGCATGCATTTTAAGCAGAGACAAGCTATTAGATTTTCAATGGAAGTACAGCGATCACATAGCCACATAGTGGCAAAAAGTCAAGATACAGTCCTCTTGTGGGACTTTGCTGGATGTTGTTTTTTGCTAAAATCAGATGTGACTTGCTGACAAGAGAAAATTACAATCACATATACTCCCTATCTTCTCCTAGAGAGTGAGTTAAAATTGTAGATGCCCTGGGTCCTTGGTGAATTTTGTGTGGTGCATAATTTGCATTCTTAGCAAGCACCCCAGATCTTTCTGATGCAAGAGGCCCATGAACCACCACTTAAGGAATATTGTCCTAGATTGTGGGAAGGAAAATTTAAAACAAATTTGAGAAAATACACAATTGGTCCAAAACAAAGTAAGACTAAATTTGAACATTTATGTAGGTGTGGAGTGGAAAGGGAATGGGGATATGAACTCTCAAAAAATAAAATTCTTAGAATAAACTTGCAGGTGAATCTGCAGGAGAAGAAAAGGGTTATCTTTATAAAATATTGATCAGCAGTGATTTAAAAATGAGATATGCATCGAAAGGTGTCTGTTATTGTCTTTCCTTCAAAGAATACCCACAACCCAACAATTCTCATGAGCCGAATGGCTTCTACCTTGCTCCACGCTCTCATTCTCCCTCCTAGGTAACAGCAACTCCTAACTGGCCTTCTTGCATCCACAGTGGACCTGTACAATCTATTGTCAAAAACTAAACCAAACAAACACACAAACCCAAAGGACATGGTTACTCTGTTACAACCTGTCAGATCATGTCACTCTGAAGCTCAAGACCCCTTTTTATTAAGAATGAAAGGCAAGTTCCTTATGATGAGCTATCAGACCCCATATTGTCCATGCTCTTCTTCCTTCCTGATCTCATCTTCCACTGCTCACCTCTTTGTAACTCTTCTCCAGCCTCCATTTTGATTCCTGAACACACTCAACATGCTCCTGCCCTGAAGACTTTGCACTAGAAACTTTTGCCCAGAAGGTTTTCCCCAAGTGTCTGGATGGCTAAATTCCATGCAATCTTCATATGTTTGTTCAATGATTTATTTTCAGAAAGTCCTACTCTAACAGCCTAATTAAAATTGCAACCGTTCCCCACACATACATATCACATGAAGTCCCTCACCCTCCCTTAATACATTTTCATAGAACTTACACATACTTACATTACATAATTTAATAATTTATTGTGTCTATTCTTTATTGTTTTTATTCTTCCTAGATGTACACTCTATGAAGTCAGCAGTTTTTGTATGTTTTGTTCACTGATGTATTCTCAGTGCCTGGAACAGTCCCTAGTACATAATAATCATTCAGTATATGTGTGCAAGAATGAAGAATTAAGTGATTTAGTGAAGTGTTTGAATACATATGTTGGATTCTATCCATAGACCTGCTGACTAATTTTGGTTTAAAGAAGGGTCTGGGCATTTCCCTGATGATTAGTGACTTTAAGAACCTTTTCATATACCTGGTGGTCATTTGTCTTCTTTAGAGAAAAGTATATTCAAATCCTTTTCCCATTTTTAAATTGGATTATTTATTTATTTAGTTAATTATTCAGTTGTAGAAGTTACTTACATTTTTTGGATATTAACCCCTTAATACATAAATGCTTTGTAAATATTTTATTCCATTCTATAGATTGTCTTTTCATTCTGTTAATTGTTTCCTTTTCTGTGCAGACATTTTTTTAGTTTGATATTGTCTCACTGTCTATTCTTGTTTCTGTTGCCTGTGCTTTTAGTGTCATATCCCAGAAACTATTGCCAAGACCAATGTCAAGAAACTTCCTTTATAGTTTCTTTTATAAATTTTAACAGTTTCAAGTCTCATATTTAGATATCTAATCCATTTTGAGTTGATTTCTGTGTATGATGTAAGATTAGGAGTTCAACTTTATTCTTTTGTGGTTGATATCCATTTTTTTTATCACTATTTATTGAAGAGATTAGCCTTTCCACATCGTGTGTTCTTGGCACCGTTGTTGAAAATCAGTTTACCATAGATGCATAGATTTATTTGGGGGCTCTCTATTTGGTTTCATTGGTCTATGCATCTGTATTTATGCTGGTACCATACTATTTTCAATACTGTAGCTTTGTAATATGTTTTGAAAGCAGGAAATATAATGTCTCTACATTTGTTCTTTCTTAAAATCACTTTGGCTATTCTAGTCTTTTTCTTTTCTGGTTCCATGTAAATTTCTGTATAGCTTTCTTCTATATTTTAAATAAATGTCATTGGGATTTTGATGGGAATAGCATTTAATATATTGCTCACTTTGGGTTGTATCAAAATTACAATGGGATACACTTCACACCTGTTTGGATAGCTGTTATTAAAAAGGACAACAGGCTGGGCCCAGTGGCTCATGCCAGTAATCCCAGCACTTTGGGAAGCTGAGGAGGGTGGATCACTTGAGGCCAGGAGTTAGAGACCAGTCTGGCCAAAATGGTGAAACCCCGTCTCTGCTAAAAATACAAAAAAAATTAACCAGGCATGGTGGCACACACCTGTAATCCCAGCTACTCAGGTGGCTGAGGCATGAGAATCGCTTGAACCTGGGAGGTGGAGGTTGCAGTGAGTTGAAATCGCACCATTGCACTCCAACCTGGATGACAGAGTGAGACTGTAAAAAAAAAAAAAAAAGAAAAGAAAAGAAAAGACTGTTAATGTTGGTGAGGATGTGGAGAAATTGGAACCTTTGTACACTGTTGGTGGGAATGTAAAATGGTACAACCACTATGGATAAAAGTGTGGAGGTTTCTCAAAAAATTAAAACTGGAATTACCATATGAAAACAATCAACAAAATGAAAAGGCAATCTACAGAATGGGAGAAAAAATTGCAAACCATATATCTGATAAAGCATAAATAACAAATACGCATAAGAAACTCCTATAACTCAGTTAAATAACCCAATTAAAAATGAGCAATCAAAACTAAATAGGCATTCCTCTAACTTCATACCTGTTAGGATAGCTATTATGAAAAAAAAAAAGATGTTACTGAACATGTAAAGGAAAGGGAACTTTTGTATATTCTTGGTGGGGAATGTAAAATGGTGCAGCCACTCTGGAAAACAGTATGGAAGTCCTTTAAAAATTTAAAAATAGAACTACTATATGATCCAGCAATTCTACTTCTGGGTACTTATCCAAAGAAATTGAAATCAGAATCCCAAAGAGATATCTGTACTCCCATGTTCCTTGTACCATTATTTGCCATTCCCAAAATATAGAAACAACACAAATTTCCACTGGCAGATGAATGGATAAAGAAAAAAAAGTGGTATATACATACAATGGAATATTGAGCCTTTAAAAAGAAAGAATTCCTGCCATTTGTGACAATATGAATGGACCTAGAATGCATTATGCTATAAGAAATAAACCAGGCACAGAAAAAAAAAATACTGCATGATCCCACTGATATGAAGTATCTAAAATAGTCAAACTCATAAAAACAGAGAGTAGAATGGTGTTTACAAAGGCTGAAAGTTGGAGAAAATGAGAGATGTTGCTCAAAGGATACACATTTTCAGTTATAAGATGAATAAAGTACTTTGGGAGGCCTAGGCGGGTGGATCACCTGAGGTCAGGAGTTCAAGACCAGCCTGGCCAACATGGTGAAACCCCATCTCTACTAAGAATACAAAAATTAGCTGGGCGTGGTGGCAGGCGACTATAATCCCAGCTACTCAGGAGACTGAGGCAGGAGAATTGCTGGAAATGGGGAGGCAGAGGTTGCAGTGAGCCGAGATCACGCCACTGCACTCCAAACTGAGTGACAGAGCGAGACTCTGAAAAAAAAAAAAAAAAGAATAAAGTTCTGTATACATAACATCCAGCGTGGTGATTATAATCAATAATCATGTATTGTATACTTGAAATTTGCTTAGAGAGTAGATTTCAAATGCTCTTATCACACACACATAAATAGTAAGTATGTGAAGTAATTAATATTTTTACTAGCTTGATTGTGGTATTAATATCACAATGTGTATATATACATGACAATGGAAAAGGAATGGGTTAGAGAAATAGACACAAGAAGGGTCCTTACTGTGAACACTTAGAAGCAGTTTCAATATGACTGATAAAGGAGCAGAAAAGTATTTCCTTGTGCTACGTTTGATTTAAATGCATTCATTATACACATCTTCATTTCCGAGCAATTTCTAGTTACTTATATTTATCCACTAGGGATGCTTTAAAGTCAACACTACCAAAGAAACACATATAATGGCGTCAATTTAAAATGTGTGTGTGTGTGCATATTCATTAATAGTAATAATTTGAAAATGTAAAAAATAGGAGGTTCCTAATTAGTTACGGGCTTATATATGGTTCAAAATACAATGATGCTGAATAGCTAATTTCTCATGTACCAATGAGAGTAGCTAGTCAATTTAGACATTCACACTGATAAATCATAAAACTACTTCTGTGATTTAATGACTTTTTACTTAATTTTTTTGGTGTCTCCTCTTTTGAGATTGCCTTCAGAGCCAGTCTTATCAATTTGTGGCTATGCTGTTTTGGACAAAACTAATAATGATTAAAACAATGGCAAAAAGTCTAATTTTGGGAACTCAGTCACTTATTCATCATATATAAATCAAAGTATTTCCAAATATACAGCTCCCTGTCTCCAAAAATATTGATGGTTTTTCATCAAACAGGAAAGTCTAATGAAGGAATAGAAGCACAAGTTTAAAAGAAGACTTAAATGTTTTGAATATTGTCAAATGTTTATCAATATATCGTGACTACCCAGATGAAAATCACTCATTTTCAAGTGAAATGTTATATACACCTACAGAAACTAGATATTCATATATTTTATAGTCAAATATTGTGCACATATTAGGAAAGATACTTAACATTTTTGATGTTTTTATGTTCTAAAATTTCAAAATGGAAACGTATTCTGTATTCATTCTTGTATAACAAAACTATAAATAAAAATTTGGTAAGTGTAGTAGGCAAAAGGATACTCCATTGAAACATGTCTATGCCCTAGTCCCTGATTGCTGTGAAAATGTTAGGTGGCATGCGAAAGGAGAATTAAGGTTACAGATAGAATTAAGTTTGCTAATCAGATGACTTTGAGATGAACAGAGATTATCCTGGATTATGTGGGTGCACCCAATATAATCACAAGGGTGTTTGTAAGTGAAAAAAGCAAGTGGAAGAGAGAGAACCAGAGAGATGGAAGCATGAGGAAAACTCAACCTGTTTTGCTGCTTTGGAGATGCAGGAAGGGGGCCATGAGCCAAGGAATGTAGGCAAACTTCAGAAACTGGAAAAGGCGAGAAAATGTATTATCCTCTAGAGCATCCAGGAGAAATGCAGCCTTGCCAATGCCTTGCCTTTAGCCCAGTGTGACCCATTTCAGACTTCTGACCTCCAGAATTAAAATATAATACATTTGCTATAATACATTGGCATTGTTTTAAGCCATTAAATCTGTCTCAATTTGTTATAGCAGAAATAGGAAACTAATACATTCAGTTAGCTAGTGTTTTTGTAGTCATATTCCCTTTGAAATAGTTTAGATAATGAATTGAGTATATTCACTGCCATTATGAGCACTCAATTATAATTTACCAAAATAGTTAACACATCCTGAAAAATAGCCTATAAGAATTTAAAAAGTGTTTCTAAGGAAAGGATTAAAAAAATAAGAAATAAAATTATTTGATGCACACAAAACTCCCAGATTTCTATGTTCACTGTTTATTTAATTACCTAATCTGCAACTTCTAAAATAAATCTATATTCATTTTAGTCCTATATATCCAATGAGCCATTGAATATACCGGACTACAATTGCACATATAATCATGTGCAGAGACTCTCTTTGAATTGCACATTTCCAAGTAAAACAACTGCCACCTACAGCTGCATTTAAAAAAAAAATACATGTTGTGGTGAAAAAATCCTTTTACTTCAGTAATTACTTAGTCATAGGTAGATTTTGCTTTATAGCTCTATCTAATCTCCTTGTACCCCAGTATTCTCACCTGTAAAATGAAAATAATAAAACATGCTGCAGGAAGCTCAAATGGTTGTTTTGAGGACAAAATACAGGGAATAAACCCACATCATCAATTGTAAAGTAACATATAAATACACATTCCTATTATACTGATTTCTTGATTTGTCAGGTGTGCTTAAGACAATGGAGCAAAAATATATTTCAAATGCTTTCTGTAACACAAATGTGAATTTCTTGGTTCGTGTTTTGGAAGACAGAGGTGAGGTGTTTCTCCTTTTGGAGATATCCTGATATAGCTAATCATTCAAGATCATTCCTTGCTCCAAAGCACAATATTTAGGCTCTGTAAGTACACATAACACTCCCTGTTCATCTTTTGACTCTCATAGTGTGCTTCTCAGGACCCATGACAGAAAATGTTCTTACACCATTTAAACCAAAGAAGAGATGCATATGGGCTATGGCATGAAAACAGTGGTGCCGTCTGTCTTCAGATATGGCTGAATCCCTATCTAATACAGCGGCTTGAATTATATTATTAATACTTACTCTTCTGTCCTCCATATCTTAGCTTTACTTTTCTCTTTGTTGGATTTGTAAGAAGTAGGTGCTATTATTATCTCCATACTAATGATTTGGAAACTGGCCTAAGGGTGATGGAATAATTTGTTCAAGATTTCTGTTTTGTAAGTGAGATTCAGGATTTGAACCCAGCCAATCTAAATCAAGATTCTAAGCTCTAAGCAACTGCACTTTTGTTGCTAGTTGCTATTTTTTCAATAAGTTATTCAGTGTTTTTTTTCCACGTGGAATAAAGGATACTGCTCTAAATATACAGTGTTCTTAGAGTTAGCAATTCTAGACACAAAAGAGTGTCTCTTTCCCAACAGTTGCATCAAGAATCCTGGAGAAAGATGTTATTGGTTTGACTGAGTCACTTGCCAATCTTGCCAGTCCTACTCCAATCACTCTGTGCACTCTGTGTGTGTCTGTGTGTGTCCCTGTGAATAACATATTGAAGATTGCTTCTAGCAACTAGCATGAAGAGTGCGAGTGCTTAGAATTCAGATTCTGGAGTCATGTTGGCTAGGTTCAAATCCCAAATTCCACTTAGAAGCTAGGTGATCTTGAACAAATTATTCCATCACTCTTAGGCCCAGATTCCTAGTCATTAATGTGGAGATAATAAGAGCATTTACTTCAGAGGATTTTCAAGGATTAAATTAATTAATTCATGTGAAGCACATAGGACAATGCTCATCGTATTATAAGCAGCAGTTATTGATGTAACTTTAATAGGTACTCTTTATAATTATTAGAAGGCAAATACAGTAACATAAAATGATGACATTCTCCTGAAAATCAACTGTAAACTCCTTCTTTCTCTGAGCCTCTTTTGTCTGAAAATTATTACTATAGGCATTTGGTGCTAGTTCTCTAATATGTAGAAATGGCACAGCAATGGTAAAATGACAAGGAAACAACAGTGAGAGTGAGAGTAAAGCTTTGCTCCTAAAATCTGATATATAAATACCAAGGAATGGGAAGAGAAGAGCAAGAAACCAAAATCTGGGACATGCCTGTACCAATCACAGTGTCTGCAGCTCTGCCTCTTGCTGTGATATTCTGACTCTGTATATTTACATTCTTCATGTTCTGATTTGCTTCATGATGCAGAGCCACTATGTCTCATCAATTAAAACAGGCTCCCAAATGCACAGCTGTGAATTTCTGATGACTCCTGGTTTCAATGCATTTTATTTTAATTTTATAGTAAATGTCAATTTTCATCAGCTCAAATGTCCTCATGACATAATATGACTTGAAGATATGCAAATACCTTCTTGCCAGATACTTCTAATTAGACGGAGGTTTTGAGTGAGAGGTACTCCATAATTAGTTCTGATGCAATCAGGATAAATCACACTTGATTATATGCTGTAAATTCGCTTCAGGATGCTCAGGGCTCGCAAAGGACTTCAGGGAGGCAGGCACCCAGCTTTAGCTTTTCTTTTCCGGAAAGACACTTTGTTTCTCTCCTCTCAGCTTTTAAAATAATATTCTTCTCTTTTAGATTCATGCATTATAGAAAGTTTTACATTATACGTGGGCCTCGTTTTACATTATAAGTGGACCACCAACCAGGCGAAGAGCAAATGCTTCACAGTTGCAAAGACTTAATAGTCAAATCTCAAAGCAAAAACACAGGAGTCAGGCAGCTTTAAACGGAAATCATTAAGAAATGTCTCAAGTACAAGCATTATAGTTAAAGGGAGCTTGTCAAATAGTGAAGTGACAAGAATAGTGTCTGGCTTATTGTACACAAGCAAGGACTTTAGTGCTACTAACTAAACGAAAGGAATTCCCTGAAGAGCTACAACCATAAGCATCTGAGGACATAAATTGATTTTTAAACTCTTTCTCCTGTCAATCTTCTTGAGGCCATTTTATGTTAATGACTCTTAGTTTGATTCATAATTTTGAAAACATCCTGTTCTTAAATTTGATAGGGTTTGTGTTAAGGCACACCTCTAGACTGACAGTAAACAACTGTGAAATCATGAAGTCCAGGGAGCATTCCAAATGAGACTAGGCCTGTTTGGAGTTGTTTCTATGTATAGTTTTCCTGCTTCACTTCCACTGTTATAACTTAGGTATAAATTCAGGAAGGAAGGCTCGTCTTAGTAACTGAGTGAGATTTTCCACCCCTGGTCTTACAGGTCTCAATGTATTTTCTGCTTAAATATGGAAACAACCACCAAATTCTCTGCTATTGTTAGCAGCAGTGAATCTGATGGGGTTCCAGCAAACTCTAGTCTTGCCTTCTCAGAGGAAAGAATTCTGCTGAGGGGCATAAGGCAGAGGGAGAGACCAAAATAAGTTTTAGAGCAAGAGTGAAAATTTATTAAAATGTTTTAGAACAGGAACAAAAGGAAGGAAAGTACACTTGGAAGAGGGCCAAGCGGGCAACTTGAGAGATCCAAGTGTGCTCTTCAGCCCTCGACTTGGGGTTTTGTACATTGGCATACTTCTGGTGTTTCCGTTTCTCCTCCCTAAATTTTTCCTTTGGAGCAGGCTGTCCACCTGTGCAGTGGATTGCCAGCACTTGGGAGGGGCCACATGTGCTGTGTGTTCACTGAAGTTGTGTGCATGTTCATTTGAGCTGTTTTTTCCTTACCAGTCGAGTATTCCTAGAAGAAGTTCATATATCAGTTAAACTTCAATATTTTCCCTCTTAGTGTGCATGCTTGAGCCTGCTCACCCTAATCCTGGTACCAGATATGACCCATTATTATTTTAGAGAGACAGTTAAACAACTTCCTTATCATCACTTGATGGTCACCTAACAATCCTGCGGGTGTGTGGTGGCCCTCTCCTGCCCTGCTCATCTCTGCCTAACCACCTACTCTAACACTATGATTGGTAGAGGGTGGGAGGAGGGTGTCAAATGTCTCTTTGGTACTCATATCTGCTAAAATAAAACAGTGTTTCACCCACACTGCAGTGTTTAATGCTTAAGTTATTTAAAAGGAATATGGAGATTGTGCTCTTAGATTGTGCTTTAGAAATAGAGACCCTCCAATCGGCTGGATCACCAAGGCCACAGTATGTGCTTTCATGTCAAGTAGTCTGGACTTTATAACTCTGCTCATATTTATCAGGAATTACACAAAGATTACATTGTTTTGGGGACCTGTGAATGTCTGTGTTCAAAGACAATTCATTGACTAGCAGCCCTTCATAGTAGGGAGAAGGTAGAGCCATTCAAAGTCCAATCCAAAATCTTAATTATACAAAAGTATTCACACTTGAAATGTAGCAATGGATCGCTCTAAGTCTGAGGGGATGAGAGATCATTCAAGTGTAATCCAGGATGGAACAACAGATGGTAATAAGAAAATGTAATGCGTAATTTAATCAACATAAATAGCCAACAAATAATTTCAAGATCAAACCAGGAAGATGAATGGGTGCAATATTAAATGTAATCATGTAAAAGTAATCCAAACTACCTATGTTTGACAGTTATCTATTATGCAAATCAACCAGTATAGTAAGTTGAAACTCCCCTACAATTCCAATGTCATTGTTTCAGAAGAAAACTTTAGAAACCAATTAACAGTTACTCTCTGTCTTACAGTCCCACACCAGCAAGGATTGCTTACTCATGTTCTTGGCATCAATGTAAATACCTCTTTTTCCAGGTCATTTTATTCAACAATATCTATCTCATACCTCAACTTTGTTGACTTGGGTTTTAGGAAGATCATGTTGGAAAGGGGTCTTCAACTAAACTAAAATGTAGAATTTTCCTGCCCTTGGGACTGGCTGATAGGGTAACATGGAGAAAAGATCAGAAGAGTTGTGTTAGTGGAAGAAGTAGGTAAGTTGCATTGGTGGTAAAGGATTCTAAACATGACCAAATAGGACAAGAGCACCATAAAAGGTGGAGTAAATTACAGGCAGTCATACTGGTTTGCATTACGCTATGGTCTGTGGGGTACACAATTCAAATTGGGCTCAGTTGCTAATTAACAAAACAAATTGCAAGATTTATAAAATTATTAAAAGAAAACTGTAGCAAACCAGTCATGCCACGAAGGCAGAAAGCAACAGAGCAGAGGACTCCCTTCTGTGCAAAATTATAACTTAAATACCCCCACTTTATATCTTGGGCCTCGGGTGGCTACAATTATAAAGGGAAGAAATAAAGGGTTTTCTGTGGTTTTTTAATAGCTGCAGCACAGCAGGATCAATCCTGTTGGAATCATAACATGATGCCAAATCAAATGATCGCTGGCTCAAAACACCCCCAAGTGGCATCATGAGCAGCTTGGTTTAATTTTCTTTCAGTTTAGTTAATTTTGTTTCTAGAATTGACATTTAACATTTCTGAACAAAGAATACAATATTTCAAACACAATGTTTTTGCCTGGTGTAATGTCTCCAGTTCTTGGCAAAAGTGCCTGAGTAACACAATTCTTTTTCAGCAATTGACCAATGAAGCTTAAGGAACTTTGTGATAGGTATCCAAAGTAACAAGAAAATAGTATATATACATTGCTGGAATTTTGACAGAACACAGTCAAGATTCCTTAGGACTGTAAGTGTTATAGCAATGCCTCACTCTTCAGTACCAATTTTATGTATTAGTCCATTCTTGCACTGTTGTAAAGGAATACCTGAGACTGGGTAATTTATAAAGAAAAGTGGTTTAATTGACTCATAGTTCCACAGGCTGTACAGGAAGCATCATACTGACATCTGCCTGGGTAGGCCTCAGGAAACTTAAAATCATGGTGGAAGGCAAAGGGGAAACAGGCACATCTTACATGGCCAGAGCAGGAGGAGGAGAGAGATGGGAGAGGTGCTACACACCTTTTAAATAACCGGATCTCACCAGAACTCCATCATAAGAACAGGACTAGGGGGATGGTGCTAGACCATTAGAAACTGCCCCCATGATTTAATCACCTCCCACTAGGCTACACCTCCAGCATTTGGGATTATATTGCAACATGAGATTTGGGTGGAGACACAGATCCAAACCATATCATCAGTCATCCTCCTTTCTGTTCTATTCAGGCCCTCAGTGAATTAGATAATGCCCACCCACATTGGCGAAGGAAATCTTTACTCAGTCTACCTATTCAAGTACTAATCTCTTCCCAAAATACCTTCACAGACACAAACAAAAATAAAGTTTTATCAGCTGTCTGGGCATCCCTTAGCCCAGTCAAGTTGACACATACAATTAACCATCAGACATAGACATTACAAACACCATTTCTAATTCATTATTTATTTGTTGAAATATTTGGGAAAAATGTCCTTTGCTGTTTCTCTAATCCCCACTTGAACAGGCCATTTAAACAATTAGGGCAATTTTTCACCCTAGTAAAGCAAAGCAAAATTGTCAAGGTATTCTTGCAGAACTATCAGTTAGTAAGAGGCCTATGCTAACAGATAGGATGGTAGGAATAACCTACTTTGTGCCTCTTCACCTGTCAGTAAGTCCTGTATCTGCTTTGTTGCTATTGAGGTACATGAAGGAAATAGTCTAAAAGGATACCAAAGGGCCCAAACTGGGTCCACTGCATGAGCAGTAAAGTAGGCAACTGCGAACTGAAAGAAGCATCATACAGTTTAAAAATATCTCTTTACTAACATCTCCTTTACTAATATCATTCCTTATGGCACCACCAATTACCATTCACTGATATTTTTTTCTTGTTGACTAGGTCCATGCAAATAGGGCTGAGGTAGGGCAAAGAATACCTCTTACTCAATTTTGTATCAAGTAGTGCCAGTGAATCTATCTTGGAATTTAGGTCTTCAGAGAGTAAATGCCTAAACAGCCCCAAACAGTTGTTATTGGTGGTCGTGTTGTATTACTTGACTTTTCCTTATCTAATGTGTTTGGCATTCACTAGGCTCTATTATTCTAGAAAGTCATATAGTTATTTTGGGAAATTTTTGCATATTTTTTAACTAATTATTTTCCATGCATTTCACCCTCACCCCTGACTGTTCCTGATGGAAAATTTTCTATAAAATCACCCTAATTTCATTATTCTTTTTCTTTTTCTATTTTCTTTAGTAGATCCTTAACATTATCTTCCAACATTTTATATTTTATTTTTCATAAAATATTTTTTAGGCCTGGCACAGTGGCTCCCGCATGTAATCCCAGCACTTTGAGAGGCCAAGGCGGGCGGATCACCTGAGCTCAGGAGTTCAAGACCACCCTGGCCAACATGGTGAAACCCCATCTCTACTAAAAATACAAAAATTAGCCGGCCGTGGTGGCGGGTACCTGTAATCCCAGCTACTCGAGAGGCTGAGGCAGGAGAATCACTTGAACCTGGGAGGTGGAGGTTGCAGTGAGCTGAGATCATGCCACTGCACCCCAACCTGGGTGACAGAGCAAGACTCCATCTCAAAAAAAAAAACACAAAACTATATATATGTATGTGTATATATGTAATTTCCAAATATTATTTCTTGTTTTTTAAATGTTCCTAGTTTAGCTTTGTTTAATGGATGAAAATTCCTATTATTTCAAAGATACAAGTTTTCTACCAGCTTCTCTGTTGTATCATTTTTCAAGAAAGATTTTTCCCCCTTTTGCTTGGTTTTGATTTTTTCTTTCAATTTATCTCAATTTCATCATGAATTATTGCTACTTATTTTAGAGTGATGCTTTACAAAATGTATTATAAATTCAGCATGTTCTCGTAGGTCTTTTAGACAGGCGAGTGTTACCATAGGCAAATAACGAATGGAAAAATCACATATTTGATATACCCTTAATTGTCAATTATCTATATGAATAGTTTCTCTGGGATTCATCAAATTTCCTCAAATAGAATTTTCTCCCTACATTTTGATCAGGTGCTGTAAAACACCCTGTCCAGTTTAGGAGAACAAGTGCGGTCATAAGGGGATAGATGCTTGGGATCTTAACTATTCTATATACAGACACTCACTTCATAAGCTTATTGTTATGCAGGATCTCATCATCAGCTTTGTTTACTTACCCAAGAACTGATTTTCTCAAATTAAATCTCACCAGAAAATAAATAGTTTAAGTTCTATCAGAGTGAGGAAGTGAAAATTTGCCTGCAATGACTCAGGCGGACTCAGGACATAAGTCTAATTTCTTCTTTTTCTTATTACGGTAAAATGCATATCTTAGTTTGTCCCTGCTGCTGTAAAAAAAAAAACCACAGATTACATAATTTATAAATAATCAAAATTTATTTGTCACAATTCTCGAGGCTAGAAGTCAAGGCACCAACGGATTAGGTGTCTGGTGAAGGCTCACCCTTTGCTTCTAAGATGGTTCATTGTTGCTGTGTCCTCATATGGCAAAAGGCAGGACAAAAG